>NC_000012.12:75944976-76096491 GCF_000001405.40 Homo sapiens | reverse complement strand
TGTCAAGATTTGTTTTCACTGTCACTTCTGTGAAGTTGGCTCGCTGTCCTCTCCTCCATTGTTACACTTACATTGAGTGGTAACAGTTTGTTTACTTGTCTGTTTATATTGCAGTGATTTCCTTGAATTCTGGGACTCCCTCTTATGCCTTTAACTGGAAAGGATGGAGTCACAGGCTCAGGGTCTGATTTGATGCTAAGCTGCCTGTATTCTGATCCTAACTCTGCCACTAGTGGCTAATATGGTGTGGAGACAGGTGCTGGATCTCTCCGAGTCTCAACTACCTCATCTATGACACAGAGATAATAACAGTATATCATAGGGTTGTTGTGAGGATTCTATCAGTTAGTATTTGCAAAACTCTTTAGAATAGTGTCTGGCACAGAGAAGTGGTGTCAGTGGTTATTACTGTTGCCATTGACTTGATTTTTCTTTATTTCCAGATTTTATTTCTAGTTTGCTCTAATTGCTCAAATTTACTTAGCATTACGATTAATGACAAATCTAATTTTACTGCTTTTTGCTCCTTCTACCTTCAAGAACTAATCTTTTGAAATATAAGAGAATCACAATTTGATCCTGCAGAGATGGAATATTGAGAAATGAAGTATTGAACTTCTGTTATTGGCGAAAGGTGCATAGCTACCTTCCACTTTTTTTTAACTTATTCTATAATTCTTCCCATTCCGATAAGTCCCCCCTTGATCAATAAATTGATTCCCTTTTATTTCTGTACTTCACTCCCATTATCTTCTATTCCAATTATAATGTGTATAATATGTGTTTGTATTTAATTAGTAAAGATGTTCATCTCACCCCATTATATCATGATGTACTTGATGCCAACATGGCTTATAACTCATAATGTTAACCTTGATCATTTAGTTAAGGTAGTGTTTGCCAGGTTTCTTCACTATAAAGTTAATATTTTTCCATTTCCATACTATTTTCTTTGAAAGTGAGTCATTGTAATTCCATACCACAACCAAAAGGACAGGATTAATCTCTATCTCCTAGAGAGGAGTGTCTACATATATTCTTTAGAATTCTTTTTTTTTTTTTTTTGAGATGGAGTCTTGCTCTGTCACCCAGGCTGGAGTGCAATGGCGTGATCTCGGCTCACTGCAACCTCCACCTCCCGGGTTCAAGCGATCCTCCATGCCTCAGCCTCCTGAGCAGCTAGGATTACAGGCACCTGCCACAGTGCCCAGCTAATTTTTGTATTTTTAGTAGAGACAGGGTTTCATCATGTTGGCCAGGCTGGTTTCGAACTCCTGACCTCAGGTGATCCGCCTGCCTTGGCATCTCAGGTTGCTGGGATTACAGACGTGAATCACTGCGCCAAGCCTAGAATTCTTCTATAAGATAAATTTCTCCCTTTATCACTTAAGTATTTATTCAATAATACTTATATCATTATGGACTCATGGATATTTATTTTACTCTCTGAATTATAATCCAATACTATCACTGTTTTGTTGGTTTTTTTGGGTTTTTTTGTTTTTGTTTTTGTTTTTTTGCTGAAATTGTTCCAGCTTTGGCCACTGGGGAACTCTTTCCAATTGCCTCTGGTGTCCTTTTGACCTCTCTCCTACTTTTATAATTTTCTTTTTTTTTTTTTTTTTTTTTTTTAGCACTATAAGATGTTCCAGACTCGTCTTGCGTTTTCCCTCCTTTAATTGGAAATGGTATTTAGAAACTAAGATTTGTGAACTGGTCATGCTTGTTGTTACTGTGGTGTCACTATGTGTTAGGCTGTTCTTGTATTGCTATAAAGAAACACCTGGCCAGGTGCCGTGGCTCATGCCTGTAATCCCAGCACTTTGGGAGGCCGAGGCAGGTGGATCATGAGGTCAAGAGATCGAGATCATGCTGGCCAACATGGTGAAACCCTGACTCTACTAAAAATACAAAAATACAAAAATTAGCCAGGCATGGTGGTGTGTGCCTGTAGTCCTAGCTACTTGGGAGGCTGAGGCAGGAGAATTGCTTGAATCCCGGAGGCAGAGGTTCCAGTGAGCTGAGATCATGCCACTGCACTACAGCCTGGTGACAGAGCAAGACTCCATCTCAAAAAAAAAAAAAAAAAAGAAAAAAGAAAGAAAAAGAAACACTTGGGGCTGGGTAATTTATAAAGAAAAGAGGTTTAGTTGCCACATGGTTCTGCAGCCTGTACAGCAAGCATAACATTGGCAGAGTGGAGTGGGGGAGGTACCACATTTTACCAGATCTCATGAGAACTCATTCCTCACTCACTATGGTGAGGACAGCCTCAAGCCATGAAGGATTCTGTCCCATGACCCAAACATCTCCCACCAGGCCCCACCTCCAACATTGGGAATTATATTTCAACATGAGATTTGAGCAGGGACAAATATCCAAACTATATCACATTGCTTCTAGGCTTCCTCAGTGGGCAAAGCTAGGAAATATATTAGCCTATGTATATATACATCTTTATTGTCCATCTATTTATCATCCATCTATCATCTATCTATAAGCATGAATTCATTCATACCTCTATCTCTGACCCTAATCCAGCACCCCATGGTTCATTCTAGCCTTCTCTCCTTGCTTATTTGTGACTTTTTCCCAGTAGCAAGAGACCTGGCTCCCATTATCTACAATTATTTAGTTATTTGCCAAACCCTAGTGTTAGGAGTTGAATTGTGTTATCCTAAAATTCATATGTTGAAGTCCTAAACCCCGGTACCTCATAATGTGACCTTACTTGGAGATAGCATCTTTACAGAGATAATCAAGTTAAAATGAGGTCATTAGGGTGGGTTCTAATCTGACTGATGTCCTTATACAAAAGGGAAATTCAAACAGACACACACATAGAGGGAGGCACAGGGAGAGGACAGCTATTTACAAGCCAGTGAGAGAGATCTGGAACAGATCCTTCACCCACAGCCCTCAGAAGGGACCAACTCTGCTAACAACTTGATTTGGGATTTCCATCCTCCAGGACTATGAGAAAATACATCGTATTGCTTAAGCCACCCAGTTTGTTATGGTAGCCCTAGCAAACGAATACAGATTTCCTAGTATACAGGGAAATTAGTTTCCAAATTGCTAATGCTTATTATCTCTTTGATAAATAAATTTATCAACTATAGTGCAATGTTTATGTGTAGCTCTTTTTGCCTTTAGCCTTATAGTGTCCAGTCAAAATACTGTTTTCGAAAGTCAGCTCCTTTTTTACTCACCCCCTCAGTGAGATTATATGTTTATAATTCAGTTAGATTAATTTGTCACAGTCTGCATCTCATCCTAGGATCCCCCAACATCTGGTTGATTTTCTGAAAAATTGAATATAGCAAATGGATTTTGCTCAATGTATATAGTCATATATCCACTACCTATAAAATATAGAACAATTCCATTATCTTTAAAAAATCCCCTCTACAACCCCTTTGGAGTCAACTCTGCACCTCTCCTCCAACCCCTGGCAATCACTGATGCTTTCTATTTTCATAGTTTTGCCTTTTACATATGCTGTAGAAATGGAATTGTAATATATAGAGTTTTGAATCTGACTTCTTTCACTTAGCAAAAATGCATTTGAGTTTCATCCATGTTGTTGAGTGAATTGATGCAGGACAGGTGAGCCCCAGAATTGAGGCTTAGTCCTGGAGCGATCTTGGCTTTGCCCAGGAAAGAATTCAAGGGTGAGTGGCAGTGTTAAATAACAACTTTTATTGAAGTGGCAGGGTACAGCAGCAGCAAAGGTACTCCTCCTGCCAGAGCAGAGTTACCCTACAGGCAGTGTGCCCAGAGTAGCAGCTCAGAGGCACTTCTGCAGTCCTATTTATACCCACTTTTAATTATATGTAAATTAAGAGGTGGTTATGCAGAAGTTTCTAGAATAAGCGTAGTAACTTCCAGGTCATTGCCATGGAAAGGGGTGGTAACTTTCAGGTGTTGCCATGGCAATGGTAAACTGACAAGCACACTGGTGGGTGTGTCTTATGGAGAGGTGCTTCCACCCTAGACCTGTTTTAGCTAGTCCTCAATTTGATCCTGATGTCCAAACCCCACCTCTGGAGCCAAGTCCTGCCTCCTACCTCAGAATCAGTAGCTCCTTTCTTTTTATTTCCATCGTATAAATGTGCCACTGTTTGTTTATCCACTCACCTGCAGAGAGAGATCTTGACTGTTTCCTGGTTTTGCCAGTTAGAAATAAAGTTGTATACGTGTGTGTGTTTGTGTGTGTACATAAGTTTTCAATTCACTTGGGTAACTACTCAGTAGAAGGATTACTGTGTCATATAGTAAATGTATATTAAACTTTATTTCATTTATTATTAAAATTTTTTTGTTGTTCATTTTTTGTTTTTGTTTTTGTTTTTGTTTTTTTTGAGATGGAGTCTCACTCTGTCACCCAGGCTGGAGTGCAATGGCATGATCTCAGCTCAGTGCAACTTCCACCTCCCAGGTTCAAGTGGTTCTCTTGCCTCTCAGCCTCCTGAGTAGCTGGGATTACAGGTGCCGGTCACCACGCCAGGCTAATTTTCTCTTTTTAGTAGAGATGGGGTTTTGCCATGTTGGCTAAGCTGGTCTGGAACTCCTGACCTCAGGTGATCCACCTGCCTCAACCTCCCAAAGTGCTGGGATTACAGGCGTGAGCCACTGTGCCTGCCGGCCTATTTTTAAATTTTTTTGAGACAGAGTCACGCTCTGTCACCCAGGCTGTAGAACAGCAACACGACTGCTCACTGCAGCCTCGACCCCCCCACATACACCCCTCCACTCCCCCCGGCTCAAGTGAACATCCCACCTCAGTCTCCTGAGTAGCTGGGACTACAGGCATGCACCACCATGCCTGGCTAATTTTTAAATTTTTTGTAGAGACAAGATGTTGCTGTGTTGCCCAGGCTGGTCTGAAACTTCTGAGCTCAAGCAAAACTCCCACCTCAGCCTCCCACAGTGCTAGGATTACAGGCGTGAGCCACTGAAGAAACTGCCAAACAGTCTTCTGAAGTGATTGGACCATTTTGCATTCCCACCAGCAGAGTTAAGAGTTCCTGTTCTTTTATGTCTTTGTCAGCATTTTGTACTAATGTATTTTTTAAAATTTGAGCAATTCTAATAGGTGTGTAAGGGTACCTCATTGTGGCTTTATTTTGCAACCACTACATTTTAAAGATTCAATATTGCCATATTACATTCAATGTTCTGCTACATAATACTCCATGTTGTGCATATACAACATTTCACTCTCAATTGTCCCAGTAATGGGCACTCTGATTGTCTCCAAATTATACTGTGTAATTTGTTTTCTTTATTCATTATGATCTAAAATATATCAACATTTCTTTACTTTCTTTTTACCAGCAAGTTGTTTCATGGATGAGGGAAAATAATATCCAAACAAATACCCAAATAATATTCAAACGAAAACCCAAACAATGTCCAAACCATATTCAAAATCTTCTTGTGCAGATTAGGTTGTCAAATTTGTCCAATATAGACTCTATGATAAATGTAGAATTGATGTAATAGACTTCAAAAAAGGATTATTTACATGAAGTATTGTGACTTCCTGTTCGTTTTCAATAACCTCTTTATTTCCTTTCTCCATCCTTCCCTTCCTTTCTTCCTTGCATCCTTCCTTTCATTTCATTCTTTCAAGCAAATAAATATTTACTGAAAGCTGTTCACGGCCAGTCACTGTTTAAACCAAGGGTATGTAAAAAACATAACACTGCCCTGCAGCAGTTAACAGGCTAGTGTGGTGTGTGTTATGGGAGAAGGAAACATGGGCTCATGAATGAAAGAATGAATGAATTAATTAATAAATACATATCTACATAAATACCCACATACAAGTGTTGTCCGCAAACAGAGAAGGGTTTGCAGCCAGCTTTGTCTTGATGAGTCAGAGAACTTTCTCTGACTTGATTAGACTTATATTTTAGAGCAATAACTTTGGTAGATTGAAGTGGAATAAGAGATTGGTATTAGGGAGACCAACTGTGAGGCTATTGCAAATGGTTTAGGTAAGAAATATTGAAGGCCCGCACAAAACAATGGCATATTTTCTTTTTTTTTTGTGATGGAGTTTCGCTGTTGTTGCCCAGGCTGGAGTGCAATGGCACGATCTTGGCTCACCGCAACCTCCGCCTCCCAGGTTCAAGCAATTCTCCTGCCTCAGCTTCCCGAGTAGCTGGGATTACAGGCGTGTACCACCATGCCCGGCTAATTTTGTATTTTTAGTAGAGACAGGGTTTCTCCATGTTGGTCAGGCTGGTCTTGAATTCCCAACCACAGGTGATCCACGTGCCTCGGCCTCCCAAAGTGCTGGGATTACAGGCGTGAGCCACCGCGCCCAGCCTAACAATGGCATATTTTCTACCTAAGTGGTCTATGTGTGAGAAACAAAATAAAATAAAATCTAGGAATGTAGAACATTATTTGGCATATAAAAAAACAAAAAAACAAAAAACCCTGACCATAATAAAAGGTCAACATACACTGCAATAATCCTGTCCAGGAAAAAAAAGAATTAAAATTTAAAAATAAATGAATGAAAGGGCAACATAAGGGATCCTTGGGCGATATAGCTGATCTGTATCTTCTTGGTGACAGATACACAAAGCCACAAATGGTAATATTGTATAGAACTAAATCCATAAACACACAAATGGATCCAAGTGAGACTGGGAAAATCTGAATAAGATCATGGATTGTTACCATTATGGTAAACTGGGGAAAGTTTTCATGGATCTCTCTGTGTTATTGCTCAAAACTTCATGTGAATCTATAATCATTTCAATAAAAAATTCAGTTAAGTAATGACAGGAAAATAAAAATATTCTTAAACAAGGCAAGCATAGTGGCTCATGCCTGTAATCCCAGCATTTTGGGAGGCTGAGGTGGGAGGACCTCTTGAGCACAGGAGTTGGAGACCAGCCTGGGCAACATAGTGAGATCCCCAAAATAAAAAAATTAGCCAGGCACGGAGGTGTACATCTGTAGTCCCAGCTACATGGGAGGCTGAAGTGGGAGGATTACTTGAGCCAGGGAGGTCAAGCTGTAGTTGTACCACTGCACTCCAGCCTGGGTGACAGAGTGAGACCTTGTCTCAAAAAAAAAAAAAAAAAAAAAGCCAGGCACAATGGCTCACTCCTATAATCCCAGCACTTTGGGAGGCCAAGGAGGGCGGATCACCTGAGGTCGGGAGTTTGAGACTAGCCTGACCAACGTGGAGAAACCCCGTCTCTACTAAAAATACAAAATTAGCCAGGCGTGGTGGTGCATGCCTGTAATCCCAGCTACTACTTGGGAGGCTGAGGCAGGAGAATCGCTTGAACCCCAGAGGTAGAGGTTGCAGTGAGCCGAGATCGCACCATTGCACTCCAGCCTGGTCAGCAAGAGCAAAACTACGTCTCAAAAAAAAAAAAGATTTTTTTTTTAAACAAAAAAACTATTAATCCTTTTTTTTGAATGTAGAGAGAAAAATGTAAGGCATCTTATCCATAATTTTCCACTTGGAATTTGATTACATTGCAGCTATAAATTAATTTGGGGAAAAGTAGAAAAAAAATCCAGATCTGAAACTAACGTAACTGTTATTTAAATGTATCTTGTGCAGTTTTTAGATGATAATTATTATTAGTTCCCTTGGATGTTTTACCTACAGATTAATTCAGAGGGAAGAAAATAAATACTGAGTACTTAAAGGGCAAGTCATTGCTCTGGGAACTTACATACATTTCTCTATTTCATGCTAATAAAGACACAGATTTTATTATAATTATTAATGCATTTTTCAGATAGGGAAGCTTGAAGATCAGAGTGGATAAGTACTTTTGCAAGGTCACAGTGTTGAAGGAGCCTATACCTGTCTGATGTTAAAGCCTATGCTTTTTTTTCTACTACATAGGGGCTGAAACACAGACACAAGCACAGGTAAAATACCATCTTTGTCATCAAATTTCTTGTTGATCTTCATAGTTCTTATCCAATATTGAGAAATGTTGACTATAATATTTTTGTGGTAATTGGTGTGGATTATTTCAGCTCAGGAAAATGTCTTTTAAAAGCTGTGACTAGATAGCTTTTAATAAAATATGTCACAAAAAGTGTCAGACACTATCAGAAGACTTCGGGGTAGTTCCTTAAACCTTTAAATAAAACAAAAATAAAAACAAAACTTCAGTAAGAGGTTAAAAATGGTTACCTTTTATTGAGCGGTCACTATATATGTCAGGCATTATGTTAAGCAACTTAAATGTGTTATTTAAAGTTTCACAGCTGAGCCAGGCACAGTGGCTTACACCTGTAATCCTAGCACTTTGGGAGGCCGAGGCGGGTGGATTGTCTGAGCTCAAGAGTTTGAGACCAGCCTGGGCATTGTGCAACCCCATCTCTACTAAAATACAAAAAAATTAGTGGGATGTGGTGGCGCGCACCTGCAGTCTCAGCTACTTGGGAGGCTGAGGCACAAGAATTGTTTGAACATGGGAGGCAGAGGTTGCAGTAAGCCGAGATTGCGCCACTGCACCTCAGCCTGGGTGACAGAGTGAGACTCTGTCTCCAAAAGTTTCACAGCTGGGCAAGGTGGCTCATGCCTGTAATCCCAACACTTTGGGAGGCTGAAGTGGGAGGATCTCTTGAGTCCAGGAGTTCAAGACCAGCCTGGGTAATATACCAAGATCCCTCTTGACTTAAAAAAAAAAAAATTTTTTTAAGTTTCACAACAGCCCTATGAAAAATGCATGCTTATTTTCCCCATTTTACAGATGTGGAAAATGAAACCTGGGATGGCTAACTGACTTATCCAAAGTTACACAGCTATTAAGTGGTAGAAAAATGGGGACAAAATAGGCTGTTTGACTCCAAAGCCACCCCTCTAAGCCTCCAGGCTACAATGCTATAAAAGTCTACCAAATGAAAATCATGGGAGATAGAGAAAAAAGGACCTTTAATTTTAGTATATATGCTTCCAAAGAGAGCATGAGAAAAGGAACTGCAACAGAAAATTTCGCATGGCCCAAGATCAGTGACCAGGGTCACCATTTATTGCAATTAAGTTAGATGAGTTAACTACATTGTGTGATTTGGGGGTATAAGAGGGGCCAATGTAAAAAGCTCAAAGGTGGCCGGATGCAGAGGCTCACACCTGTAACCCCGGCACTTTGGGAGGCTGAGGCAGGCGGATCATTTGAGGTCAGGAGCTCGAGACCAGACTGACCAGCATGGTGAAACCCCATCTCTACTAAAAACACAAAAAAACTAGCTGGGCGTGGTTGCGCCTGCCTGTAGTCACAGCTAATCGGGAGGCTGAGGCAGGACAATTGCTTGAAACCGGGAGGCAGAAGTTGCAGTGAGCCGAGATCGCGCCACTGCACTCCAGCCTGGGCAACAGAGTGAGACTCCGTCGAAAAAAAAAAAAAAAAAAAGCTCAAAGGTATCTTCAGGTCAGTCACCTCCTACCCCTTTTCTCATTTTATTTTCTTTATAGCATTCACTTATCAATTATTTATTATTGATAAGTGAAATTGTTTTATTACTAATATTTTATTAGTAAAATTATTTTATCTCTAATCATTTGCCTCACCTCACTAGACCATAACTTCAATAAAATCAAGAACCGTGTCTTTCTTACTAAATGCTGTATTTCCAGAGTCCGAAGTTGTGCCTGACATAAATATTTGTTGAATGAATGCATAAATGTCTGCCCTTCCCTGAACTTTAATGGCAAAGACTTAGATTTACAAACTGGTTCAAAAGACTATATTACAAAGGCATGCATTATTAGAAATATTTTATTGTTTAGTTTCTTAGATTGGCTAGGATACACTGAAAAAAGAAGAGGAAGCTGGAGAAAAGGGGGAAAGAGCATATGTACTGGTAATGATAACACCTAAGTTATAGGGGTTGGTGGGGGGGTGGTGAAACCTAAAAAATCCAGAGCCTTCATGAGCGAAGTGCCGAAAATTGATGAGGCTCTCTGGTGTGGGATAAAAACCACCACAAAAGCTAACTTCTCAATTTTGTCTCAGAAATTCTGCTACCATAAAGATTTATGGAAAGAAAGTGAAAGTTATTTAGTTCATTTTAATATGCTAATTACCTTGCATCGTGCACAGCTTTGATTAAAATGCAACATTCCTGAAGTTCTTATTGAAATTAATGTGTCAAATTTATGTTCAAACTGAGCACTGGTCTACCTTGTTTATGTATAGTGGGTTCTTCCTGAAGATCCATTATTGATGCTATTATGCTCCTTGTATCATTACATCATTGTTGAGAAGGGTGTACAGGAATAGGCTATGAGAACAACAAAGGAATTGTATATGAAAAACTAAAATGAATGAATAAACAGAGTCGTCTGCAGTATAGAGTGGGAAGGCAAATAATTTCAATGAGGTTCTGGAGGGCCAAGGAAAACATTGTATCCCCTAAAACGGAAGATAAAGTTGCTAAATGTGTGGATTACAATAGGGGATTCTAGGCAGTTTGAAGTTTCAATAAATGCAAGATTTAGAGAAGAGGTTCTCAAACTTTGTGGTCTTAGGATTCCTTTACACTCCTTTAAAAGTTGAGGACCCCAAAGAACTTTTATGTGCATTACTGATACTGATATTTATATCAGAAATTAAAAGTGAGAAATTTTAAGAGTATTTCATTTAAAAACAATAAAGCAATCAAATATTAACAAAAAATAATTTTTATATGAAAAATAACTACTCCCCCTTGCCCCCAAATCGAGTTTTTGCAAATCTCTTTAACGTCTGGTTTAACCGCAGATGACTGGATTCTCCTATCTGCTTCTATTTTCAGTCTGTTTCCTTATCACATGTCACGTAGCCTCCGGAAAACCCCACTGTACACTTGTGAGAGAATGAGAATGCAAAAGGCAGTCTTGACATTAATATGGAAATAGTTTTGACCTTCCCCATGAAAGGGTCTGGGGACCCTCAGACCATACTCTGAGAACAACTTTTTGAGTTAGTATTAGTCAATTCATCATCACTTGAAAATTAGCTATGAGGTTTTACAAGCCTGAGGATTTAATGTGATTTACTTTTTCAGAAAGATGAAACAACGGACGTACTGAGTGTCCTCATTATAACGCATCCAGAGAATGCACAAATATGCCATTTTCATCCGTCAAAAGAACTGAAGCCGAACTGACGGACTGTACATCAGTTACGAGGATGTGGCGGGGGGTTGGGGGGCAAAGGATGACGAGCACCCCCTAAAGGCGCGGAGACCCGCTGGCATAGGAGAAGCAAAACTGTCAGAAGAGGCCGCCGAAGTGGTCTAGAGGAAAAAACTGTTTTTCTTAGGCGGGGAAGGAAAACGGTTACCGGGGGCCGGCGAGTTGCAGGAATTAGGCCTTGACAGGGAGCGTCCGCCGTCTAGGCTGCGGCGAGCGAGGGACCAGGCGACTGGCGCCAGCCCTGAGCGTTCCCAGCACAACGCCGAAGGGGGCGGGGCGGGCCGGGCGCCGGGCACGCGGGCCAGGCCTTCCCCACAACTGATGGGGTTGAAATTTCCTTTCCGGCTCAGCAGGGAGAAAAGATATGGTGGGGTGCTTAACAGAGGAGGTTAGACACCGGCGGGAACCAGAGGAGCCCAAGCGCGGCGCCTGGGCCTCGGGGCTGCAGGAGTCCTCGGTGGGGGTATGGAGGTCGCCGGGGAAGGAGGACGGTTCAGTTGCTAGGCAACCCGGCCTGGACCCGCCTCTCGCTCGCGTTGCTGGGAGACTACAAGGCCGGGAGGAGGGCGGCGAAAGGGCCCTACGTGCTGACGCTAATTGTATATGAGCGCGAGCGGCGGGCTCTTGGGTCTTTTTTAGCGCCATCTGCTCGCGGCGCCGCCTCCTGCTCCTCCCGCTGCTGCTGCCGCTGCCGCCCTGAGTCACTGCCTGCGCAGCTCCGGCCGCCTGGCTCCCCATACTAGTCGCCGGTAACGGATGGGGGCCTGGAAGGGAAGGGGGAACGTGGTGTTGGCTGGGCGGCCTGCGCAGATGGGAGGGCCGGAGGGATGGAGGGACTGGGAGCCGGGAGTCGGGGCCGCTGGCCGCCCGTGGCCTCCGGGGTCGTCCTGTGAGGTCGGACAGGACCGCGGAGTCCGGACCCCGGAGCCTGAGAGGGGCCCCGGGGCCGACCAGCGCTTTTATCGGGGACGGCTGAGGCGACGTAGGGGTTGGCGCGGCCTGGAGGCCTAAGGTTCTCTGAGCTCCACCGTCTTTTCCGCGTGGACCGGAGCGAGGCCGCGGTGACGCCCGGGTGCCCTGAGACTCGGCTGCGCCGCGAGGACCGGGAGGCCCCCGGCGTACGGGCCGGGCCGAGTGCAGAGCCGGCCGCCTCTTGGACACCCCCCTGCTTTTCCCTCAAAAATAATACCAGGAGGGAGGCCGCTGGGAGATGAAAAGAACGGCGGAGGCTGCGAATTCCGACGGGAGGGAGGGGCTGTGGAGGGACGAGTCCCCGAGGCGGGGAGGGGGCGGGGGAGGCTGCGACGCTCCCGGGCTCTCCGCCCATTGGGGGCGGCCGCGCGGGGAGGGGAAACCCCCGGCGGCTTCGCTCCACACGTGGTAATGGGCTTCATGGCCACTGGCTGGGCCTGGTTGGAGACCCTTGCCCTCGGTCTGTGCTTACTTTGAAAGTTGTAGAGACGGTGGAATGTGAAAAGGAAGGGTAAGCGAGTAAGCCCTGTCCCTGGGTTTCAAACTCTTCCCTGCTTCTCTTTGGTCTTAATCTTTTTATTGGTACCAGAGATTGTGGATGTTAGCTGATGATAAGGAAGGGCCTCCACTGCTAGTATTTTAAAAAGTTAACGCGTATATAGCGCTTATATTAACTGTTATTAGCAAAAGGTTGTTATTGTGTTTCCCAGGTACTGTTAGATGGGTGTCTTGATCAGGGTTTTTTATTTGGGGAGTATTGATCCTGATCGATCTAAACCCCTAAACCAAGCTTGTCCAACCCGCGGCCCAGGACGGCTTTAAATGTGGCCCAACACAAATTCATGAGGTTTTTTTTTTTTTTTTTTTTTTGGAAAAAAAAGCTCATCAGCTAGTTAATGTATTTTACGTGTGGCCCAAGACAGTTCTAGTGTGGCCCAGGGAAGCCAAAAGATCGGACCACCCCTGCAAACGGTTCTTAGATGAAAATAAAATGTTTGGCCCTTTATGACTTTAATTGTTCTTGGCTGTCTTATAAATTAGTTCCTTTATTGAAGTCACTAGAATAAGATACTTAACGGTTTCCTTTTTAAGATGGGAGGTGGGATGGAATGAGGTGTTAGTATAAACTTTGCCAAGTTTGTAGCCTGCAACCTTGTCAATGAACCCTACTGCCCTAAAGATCTGGGGGATGGCAGTGTAGGGGGGCTGGGACTGAGGTCCCATCTGGGAAGGCTAGACTTTGAGAGTGCAAAAAGGATGAACCAGGCGCAGGATGTCCTCAAGGAGCCCGTATTTTAGACGGTCACTGATCAGTTTTGAAACAACTACATTTTAAAAATCTCACTGCTACATTTGAAGATATCCCACTGCTGCATTTTAAAATTTACACTGCTTGCCTGGTTTCACAAGAGCTGTAAAATGAAATTTGGCCTTTTGAAAATAGGTGGATTCAAAACATCTTTGGAAACGAGTATCTGGGTCCTCTTTTTTTGGTCAGCTTAAATTAATACTCCTATACTTTGGAAGTAATATACATTACCTTTGATTGAATAAGGGAAAAACCTTTTATGTATAGGGTACCATTTAAAAATCGAAGGGAAGTAAATGACTTTTACAGTTATTTTCAAGGCACTCTTGTGTTTCAAGCTTGTTTGAAGTTGCCCAAGTTTAAATAAATGGCCTAAATCTATAGTTTAGTTCTAAGAATACTGTCCTTTGGAGAATGTATGGAACTAAACCCTGGTAGGTGGACTTGGACATCTTCTGTCATAAAACCTGACTTTCATAGATTCTCCAAGTCAACATTATGTTAGTAAATAGAAATTTAAAAGTTTTCACTATACCAATTTGAATATCTTTCTAAATTTTATCTGCTACAAAGTGCCTATTTTTATATTAGGCCCATTGATTTGCAGAATTATAAAGCTAATACTGAATATGGTAAATTACTGCACTTGGCCTTTAATGAGATTTTTGAAACGAATACCTGTACCATAACTAATGTAATCCAAAATGCCATCTCATTTTATTCAGCTTGCTCCTGTTGGCTCCTGGTAAAACTGAGTTGATTCTAAATTCTCAAAATATATTCAAAACTAAGGGTCTTTTTGTAGAAGGGGCTAAAGAAGCAGTATCTGTTGGACTTCAAAGGTCTGAAGATGTCAAAATACAATATTTTATTCACTTCTTGGTTGTAAATTTGAAACAAAGGATTAGAGAGAATGACTCATCAATATCAAAATATTAATGATCAGTGTATTCAGATCTTCAAGTTTAATCAAACCTGTAATTGTGTTCTCAGTTTAGTCTTTGGGTAACTATCTAGCACCTGTATGGACATGTATCTTATGTCATGAGCAAAAGAGGCAAATTGGTTGCTTAGATGTAGAATGTTAAATTGTGATGAGAGCTATAAAGGAAGGAAAGGGTAAAGGGGTCAAAGAGTAATACAGCGTTTACACAAAGGAACCTGTTATAATTTGATGATTTTAAGTTCCATTTCAAACTAGTTTCATCTAAATAAGTTTTTGGGCAGAATAGGGGTTAGAAGGAGAGAGTTGTTACTTTACACCTATCCATATGTAAGTCGTTTAGCACAATGACTACAGAACATTAGAGTACATTAGTGGGCTTGCCATAGAAAATGGCTTCTATACCTTTGGTTACCAACTCTGCCTTTTACTTCCTGCATATTTGTATATATTTTTACTTATTCAGAAGTTTTGTACATTTTAATTTTTATTGGGAAACAGGGTTATATATATTTTTTCCTTGTGGAGACAGGCTCTTGCTGTGTTGCCCTGGCTGGTCTTAAATGCCTCACCTCAAGCGATTTTGCCTTGGCCTCCCAAAGTGCTGAGTGTATGGGTGTGAGCCACCACACCTGTCTAGAGTTATAATTTCAGTCTTGGAATTATTTTCTAAAGAGGGTACAGAAGAGCATAACAGGGATAAATAATGTAATAGGCAACACTGATTGATTATTCAGGCATTGTTTTAAATTCTGTGTGTATTATTAGCTCATTTAATTTACTTAGAGACAGGTAGCATCAACATTTTAACAAGGAAAAAAAATAGGTGTGGAGTGGTTAGATAACCCGTCCGTGGTTACGTACGTGAGCAGTGATAACTTATGATGAGATAATTTTTATCCTGGTTTTGAAAGAATGTTGACTTACACTGTTCTGCTATAAATCAGCATGAATATTAGTTCATTTTCTGTTGCTTAGAATACCTGAAACTGAGTAATTTATTTAAAAAAAAAGAATTTATTTCTTGCAGTTATAGAGGCTGAGAAATCCAAGATCGAGGGGACCCATGTGGTGAGAACCTTACTTGTGGAGACTCTGAAGGTTCCCAAGGCAGTACAGGGTATCACATGGGGAGGGGGCTGAGTGTGCTAACTGGGTAGCTTGGCTCTCCAGCTCCCCTGGTGGGAAACTGGGTAATTTATAAAGAAATACATTAATCCATGAATGGATTAATTCGTTTGTGAGGGTGGAGCCCTCATGATCCAATCACTTCTTAAAGACCCCCATCTCTCAGTGCTGCCACATAGGGGATTAAATTTCAACTTGAGTTTTAGAGGGGACAAATACTCAAACCATAGCAGCATGAAATTCAAAAGCACTCCACCTTGTATCCCACTGTGCTCTAGGGAAAAGCTGTATAGCAGTTATGGTCATGAAGTCTTCTTCCAGCATAGAATTTGTTTACATACACAGTCATGCATGGTTAATGATGGGGATGTGTTCTGGGGGAAATGCATCATTAAGCCATTTCATCCTTTTGTGAATGTCATAGAATGTATTTACACAAACCTAGATGGTACGGCCTAGTACATACCTGGGTTATATGGTATAGCCTGTTTGTTGTTCCTAGGCTACAAACCTGTATAGCATGTTGCTATGTTGAATACTGTAGGCAGTTTTAACTTTTTTAAAAATAAGTTGGAGTGTACTCTAACCACAAAAAGCATAGTATAGTAAATACATAAACCAATAAATCATTTATTGTCCTTATCAAGTATTATGTACTGTAAATAATTGTAAGTGCCATACTTTTATATGACTCTGCAGTAGGTTTGTTTATACCAGCATCACCACAAACATGAATAATGAATTGAGCTGTGACATTACTAGGCAATAGGAATGTTTCAGCTCCATTATAATCTTGTGGGATCACTGTTGTATATGCAGTCCTGTGTTGACTGAAACGTTATGTGACTGCAGTTGGGTAATGGTTTCTTAGCCTTATGTCAGCTCTATGTATCCAATTAGTTCAGTCAGTTGCCTCCCCTCTTCAGTGGAAGATTTTGTTTTTAGTTCAGTTTAGGAAGGAAGATTTCCTTTCAGGAGGCCAGGTGTGGTGGCTCACACCTGTAATCAATCACAGCACTTTGTGAGGCCAAGGCGGGAGCCCAGAATTTCCAGACCAGTCTAGGCGACATAGTGAGACACCCTGTCTTTACAAAAAAAATTAAAACAATATAGCTGAGTGTGGTGGAGAATGCATACCTGTAGTCCCAGCTACTCAGGAGGCTGAGGTGAGAGGATCACTTGAGCCTGTGAGGTCAAGGCTGCAGTGAGCTGTGATCACGCCACTGCACTATAGCCTGGGCAATAGAGCAAAGCCTTGTCTCCAAAAAAAAAAAAAAAATGCCTTCAAGCATGTTTTTAGGGTCAGTTATGTCTTTTGAGATCTTATACACACCATATATGTATGAACCTTTTATTATAAAGTGACCTTTTTATCTTAATGTTTTTCCTTGAAGTCTATTTTTTCCTGACATTAATACGTGATACCAACTCTGATTAGTGTTTTATTCTGAAACTGTCTTTTACATTACAGATTTTTTTTTAAGGAGGTATGTTGAAGTGCAGTGGCACGATCATAGCTCACTGTAACCTCAAACTCCTGGGTTCAAGTGATCTTCCTGCCTCAGTCTCCCGAGTAGCTAGGACTACAGCAGGCATGTTAATTTTTTGTAGAGATGATCTGTGTTGCCCAGGCTGGCCTTGAACTCCTGGCCTCAAGCGATCCTCCTGCCCCAGCCTTCCAAAGTGCTGAGACTATAGACGTGAGCTACCGCACATGGCCTCACCTTCATTCTTAAAAGATGTTTTGGTTGGGGATAGTATTTTAAGAGCCTTAGTTATTTTCAACATATTGAGGATTCTGTTGTCTTTTAGTGTCTTATTGAAGAGAAGACAGCTGTCAGTCTTTTTGTGCCTTTGAAGTTAATCTACCTTTTTTGTGTGTGCTTTTGAGATGAATTTGTTTTTGCTATCTTGCCTTTTTACTGATGTATCCGGAGCTGGATAAATATATGTGTGTGTGTGTGTGTGTATATATATATATGGATTCTTTATTTTATGGTTTTGATTTGTAGGGCTACTTGAATCTGTGGATTGGTGTCTTTCATCACTTAAGGAAATGGAAAATTATTGCGTATTAACTTCTTCAAATATTCTGTCCTCCTGCTCCCAGAACTTGTATGAAGTCTTTATTAGGCTTCATTGGATCTTAACATGTCTTTTCATTTCAGTATTTTCAGTCCTTTAGATTCTGTGGCTCTGCCATATTTTCAAAGTTTTCTTCTAGGCTTCATTTCAGCTCACTTAATTCTCTCTTCAGCTGTGTATCTTACTCTTAAGCCAGCCCATTTAGTTTGATTCATTAGTTTTATTTCTAGAAGTTCTAGTTTTCCAAATTTTGTTATATCACCTTTAATAGATGACTTCCTTGCAGACAGTGTGTTTTCAAACTTAGATCAAAGACAACCAGGCTTACTATGTCTGTAGGTATGTATTTGTTTATAGTCTGACAATTTTTAAGTCTTTGTGTAGGATTGATTTCTGTTATATTTTCTGTTTTTCCTGTTGGCTGTGAAAATTACTTGTATGAATTTTTTAAGGTCTAGAAGGAAGCTTTCATTTAATTTTGATATACAGGTGTCTGAATATACCAGGGACAGATCATTTTAAGTACATAGCTTGGGGTTTGGAGGGCAATACAGATGAGGTAAATTTGGGCTGTTTGTCCAGGAGAATGAATTTATTCTTGAGGATATAGCATTTTGGGGTTCCTGCTTAATTTGGGAGGGTTACCATAAAGATAGCCACCGTGGACAGGCCCAGAATTTTAACTTTGGTTAAAACCAAAGTTCACGTTGCTGATAATTGGCAGTTGACCTCAGTGCAAAAGTGCCTTCCTTCTGCTCCTGTTTTGCCCTCAGTTTTGGGCTGGTGATTCCTTACTATCTTGTTAGCATTTCAGTGCTTTTAAGATTTTTAACAAAATGTTTTTGTTAAAAAACATCTGTACTTTTAATTCTTTTCCTTTTTTTTTTTTTTTTTTTTTGAGACAGGGTCTTGCTCTTACCCAAGCTGGAGTGCAGCGGTGTGATCTCGGCTCACTGCAGCCTCCTCCTCTGGGTTCAAGCAATTCTCCTGCCTCAGCCTCCTGAGTAGCTGGGACTACAGGTGTGTGCAACCACGCCCGGCTAATTTTTTGTATTTTAGTAGAGACTGGGTTTCACCATTTTGCCCAGGCTGGTCTCTAACTCCTAAGCTCAGGCAATTCGCCTGCCTTGGACTTTCAAAGTGCTAGGATTACAGGCGTGAGCCACTGCGTCCGGCCATATTTTTCATTGGTAGAATTGATCTGCATAATCTAGTTTGTCGCTTTCAGGAATGAAAGTTTTTCACAGAGATCTTGGAATGCAATTTAATGTATAACAAATAAGATTCTCACTGATTTTATTTAATGTCAACTGCAGTAAAATATTAATACAGGTATTAACCTAAACTTGTGTTTCTCAATGTGGTCTACCTGAGAACCACCTCTCAGAAGCTGAGTTTCTTGTTTAGAATGCAGATTTTTGGGTCCCACTTCCTCAGATGTTTTTCTGCTTTATATAGATGATGAAATAGAGCCAGAAGTTGTTTGTCTTAGTTTGTAGATTGCTACAAAGTTGATGTCAGCCCAAATGATCTGACTACAACTGACTAGAAAATTAGGTCTATCTTACAACCAAGAAATACAATGTAGCCAGAATGGGCAGGTTAGAGCAGCCTTCTCTGGAGGAGTAAATGCCTCCTGTTAATGTTCTGTAAATGTTCTGTCTTGGATCCTCTTTACTAAAGTTTCATTTTAAGAATTTAAACTGTAAATGTAATGCTGCAAATGGACATTGAGGTTAGCAGTGTAGCCATTCTGTGAACACATTAAAATGTTACAAAAATTTAAATTTGGAAGTTTTAGGTTTTGTTTCTGTTTTTGACAATTGCTGGGTTTAGTAGACACTATATATTAAACCTAGCAAATCTCAGAATAAATTTGTGTATTGGAAATTATTATATAAATCTGTGTGTTGGAAAACCAAATGCAGTCATGCACCACATAAATACTTAGCCATTATATTAAAGTTGCCTATGGTATTCAATACAGTCACATGCTGTATAGGTGTGTAGCCTGGGAGCAATAGTCTATATCATAGCCTAGGTGCGTAGTAGGCTATACCATCTAGGTTTGTGTAAGTATACTCTGATGTTTGAACAACAATACAATCACCCAGAGACACATTTCTCAGAACATATAATCCACACATGACTGTAATGGTGAATGGGAAATTAGTTCTCATTACCCCCAGTCCCTTCTTTCTCATTAGGTTACTCTGGTTAGGTTTTTGGTGTTTGTTTTCAGAAAGGGTTTATTTGTATTAAAGTATGTGCGTATATGAGTGGAGATATATATATATATATATATATATATATATATATATATATATATTTCCATATCCAAAGGGGATTTCGGCATACATCCTATACCTTGCTTTAGTGTTCCTTCATATCAACTCAGATCTGTTTCATTTGTGACTGCAAAGCATTCCATTTTTGCATATTCCATTATAGTACTAAGTTTATAATAAGCTTTGTGTGCTACCCCAAAGAAGACAACGCTATGATTGTCAAGATCAGATTTAATTCCTGTAATCATGAATTTTGTCAGTTGGGAGAGACAGACCATAGGTCAAACTAATTTATAATTACAGACTGAGACATCTTATGGTGGAAAGAAAAGAAAGCTTTATAGGAGTGTGTGTACAACCAAGAAATCTTACTTAACCGGAATGTGCAGGTTGGAGAAAGCATCTCTGGGGAGTGAAACTTTGAAATGAGAGCCAAAGGATGTGCAGGACTTGTTCAGAGCTGTGGAAGAACCTTCTAGGTGAACATGGAAAGCAAAGGCATTAGATTCTTTATAATTTTTTCATGGTAGAGCTCATAAGTGAATAAATCTGGAGATGGACATATTTTGTTTTTTTAATTTTTATGTTTTTAAGAGACAGTGTCTCATTGTGTTGCCAAGGCTTGTCTTGAACTCCTGGCCTCAAGCGGTCCTTCTGCTTCGGCCTCCCAAAGTGCTGGGATTGCAGGTGTGAGCCATGGTGCCTGGCTGAGATGGACATGTTTAAGGCTTTTGATATTCCTATTGTCAGGTTGCTCTCCAGAAAAGATACGGGAACACTAGCTGGAAATAAGGATGCATGTGCACTACAGGTTTCCCTGTATTAAAAAGAAGTTATTGATGATGTGGTAGACAAACTGGAATCCTACTTGGATTTCTTTGATGTCAGAGTTCAGTATTTTTCTTATTTTTGATTAATATTCATAATTGCTAAACACTTTGTAAATGCTGACTCATTACCCAGCATCACTAGAAAAATTCATCAGTACTATTAGGAATTATTTATAACAAATACAAAATATTTACAGAGTTAGATACATTAGGAAGAATAATTTTCTTTATAATTACTCTAAAGGATAGATACTAGGTCAGTAATAATGTTTCCCCCAAATATTAGCACTTAACTGCTAAAATCAGGATGTTTTCCATTTTTAACTCTTTGTTCATAGGCATAATACGTTGCTATGAAAGTAAACACATGCAGGATTTTGTGAATTAAATATGTATTAAGATTTTAATTTTTACCAGATAACTTGATTCTATTTATTCATAATTTTTTTAGAGACAGGGTCTTGCTGTATTTCCCAGGCAGGCCTTGAACTCCTGTGCTCAAAAGATCTTCCTGTCTCTTGGGCAGCTGGGATTACAGGCTCTTGGGCAGCTGGGATTACAGGCTCGTGCCACTGTGCCTGGCTAAGATAAACTTGATTTTAACATGGATTCTATCTAAACTTGGTTTAGTTTTTTTTGGTAATCTGTAGATTACCTGTGGCATTCTACCATTTTTTTCTGCCTGGATATAACACATCTGCTTTAAGATTTGTTTTTCCAAAAGCAGTATTCTCCAGGTTCATACTAATCTTTTAGTGAGAAGGAACTTAGGATATCCTCTGGTGAGTCTTAACAGTAAACTTACTCAGGTCTGGTAACCACAAGTCTTGACAATGTCCCTAGCATATCTAGGGGAAGCTGGAGGTTGGTGGTTGTCAGTTATCTAACATGAGGTACATGTACATTTGGAGAGATAGGGAAGGCTTACCTAACATTAAGATTGGGACCTAGAGCTTTTGAAATAGTCTAAATGGCTATTTGATCCAGGGATTAAGTCTTTTAAAAAGATATCCAGAGGGCATAGTGAGTACAGTAGGCATCAGATTTTGGTTTTCTTAAACATGAATTACATAAAATGAATATTGCTAAATACGAAATGGATAAATGGATTTAAGATGCTACGTAGTCTAAAAATTTAAGCAGAAATTGACCTTTCTTGATTGTTGAAAGAATTTGAATGAAGATCCTTTTGTACTGTTCCTTTCCTATGATTCTAGCAAATGTTAGTTTTGTTTTTAACCAATGGTGCTATTATCATAGTCTTTATACAACAGATTCTAAAAGCTTAGTGGTAACTTTTTTGTTTTAAGTAATATCCTCTGAAAAATTATTTTTGGTACTAGTAAGGAAGAATTTGCATGTTCCATGAGTTTTTTCTTCTTAACACTGATAGTATTTTAAAGGAAATAGACATTTCTTGGGATAGTTTTCAGTATGGTATTGATTTAAAGGGTTTTGGTTTCTTATTTTTTTTTAATAAATCATATACTTTTTTTTTAACATTGATGTTTCTCTCCATAGATATTTGGAGTTCTTACAACATGGCAGACATTGACAAGTAAGTGGCAGAGAGTTGGTTCTTTTTCAGAGATTTGGCATCACTTTGTACTCTGTTCTTAACAGCAAGTAGTATGAATTATATATTATGAAAATGTAGTTACTAATGCTTAGTACCTACTTTTACAAAAGTCTAGTGCAGTGTATTCAAGGTAAAATATAGAATATATGATCATTAGCATATTTATGATCATATATTCGAAACCATCGTATATACTAAACCATTTGTCACTATTTTTAAGAAAATGCTGAGCATGATAATGGATTATAAATACTTGCAGAATTCATTTTTATTGTATATATTTCCCAAAGATTTACTGCTTGCATTGTAATGTACCAAACACCCAAAATGTGTATAAAATGTATTTATATATAGAGCTTAAGGAATATTCAGACAAGTTAAAAATAGAACATTACTATCAGAAGCCTTGTGTGCCCCTTCTCAATTGCACCTTTCCCTTGCAGACATGTAAGTGCTATCCTGGCTTTTGCTAATTCTTTTCTTTGCTTTCCTTCAGAGCTTTACCACCTATAAATAATCAGTGTTTAATTTTGAAAATCTGAATAGTGATCACAAAGTTAGCTATGTAAAGCAACATTGCCACTTTGCCACTGTTAATTGAAGGCTATAAGATAGGATAACAAGGAAGAAAGACTATCTGGGTCATAGTCTGGCCTCAAGTTTTGTGAGGCTTTATAAAAGACTTATTGTGGAGAAGTATTGGGCAAGGTCATGTGTCCTGGGAAGTATAGGTTTAATCAAGTTGGCATGTGGCAGGATTCTAATGTGGATGGATGTTTTATAGAAACAGGGTCAGGAAGAATGGGATGAGGTACACAGTGTTTGTTGCGTGTAATTTTACAGTAGCCCGTGTTAAAATAGAGCACTTGGGAGTGAGGGGATGCTAAATTATTTTCCATAGCTGTTGTAGGCATCAGCGAATGATAGTGGGAGGGCTGGAAACTTCAGTACAAGATCAACACATAGAAGTACAAATAAGAATTTGGGCCACTCTTACGCATTTTATCTTCAGCATTAAAAAAAAACAGATGAGTGACTTATGCATTCTGTCTTCAGCATTAAAAAAAACGAGAAGAGTGGAAACGGCATTTTTAATAATAATGGTTCCCAAAGTGATTGTCTCCTGTGTCACACCTCTAATTTGGATTGCTTAACCTTGGTGACATGGCTGTCATTGGATCTATTTTACTATCTTCCTGAGGTTTCACCTTGTTTCTCCTCTTGGGTTTGTTGTTTGCCATATCTCACATTGCTTTCTCGGTTTGTTAGTACCTTCTTGGAAGAGTACAAGGGAGCTAAATTATTTTAAGACATGTCATGACTGAAAACGACTATTCTACCTTTATGCCGGATAGTTTGGGTGTAGGATAGTAAGATGGGATCATTTTTCTTCAGAATTTTGAAGGCATTGCTCCATTGTCACCTTGCTTCCAGTGTTGCTGTGTTGAAGTTCAGAGTCATTGTAACTAACCATTTGTGTGTGATAATTAAGAAATATGTACATTTACACTATATATACATTTCTGGAAGCTACTCTGGCTTCAGAGTTCTGAAATTTTCACATTATTATTTTTTTCTCTTAATGTTACATATTCAGTGGTGGACCCTTTCAGTGCAGCAATTCAGTGGCTTTTAGTTCAGGGATATTCTTGATTGAACTTTGTGATTGTCTCATTTGTTTTCTCTTTCTGGAGCTACTATTAGATGTTGTGTGTTGGATTGCTCTCATGACCTTTTGTCCTATTTTCCATCTCTGTCTCTTTGCTCTTCTTTCTGGACAGAACTGAAGACTTTCAGCTTGTGTTGAGTTTTAAAATTTCTGTTGTTTTAGTTTCCAAGACCTGCTTCGTTCTTCCTGTTTTTTTGTTTTTTTTTTTTTTTAAATAGCATCCTCTTCTTGTTTCATTGATGATAATGTCTTTTCTCTGGATGTTTCTTCCATCTTTATAGTCCATTTGCTCTTACATTTTCTTTCTCTCATTTGTTTTGGTCTCAATCTAGGATGCTTTCCTCAAATATAAATCAATACTTGGTTGGCTGCTCATTAAGATTGGATTGGGTGGGGTGTAGGGACACTTCAGACATGTTTAAAAAAGAAAATTGATTGGAAAATTTGAGCGTTGGAGTGGGGAGGCTTGTTAATTTGGGATTTCAGTGTAGGGTCACCAGAGTGGGCATTTGTTAGAAACCCCAGTGTTAGAATGGTCATTTTTTTTTTTTTCTGGGCTAGTCAGATTCATCGTTGAACAGTGTCTGGGTAAAGATCTGGCTTCTGGTGTTCCTTTAAATGTAGAGGAGGCTCTACATTTAGCATTCTAATGTGTACATAGTCCTATATCTTTGATACTGTTGACTGTGTCTGTTGTCTTCCAGTCCAAGTTCTGAATTTTACCCTTTCCTGAGAGGAAACTGAATATTTCTGCTAGTGTAGAGAAGATCTAATGATTTAACTGCTTATCAGTTTTTACTTTCTTGTTTTAGCGACCTTCTCTCCTGTCCCACCCCTTGCCCTAGTTCTAGAAATGTACCTGGTGCTACCAGTTCTTATCCTTTTGAAGACTGATTGGGCTGCTTCTCAGCTTTCCCCACTGCTAATCTTAGATTTCAGTTCTCTCAATGAAATTATCACTTGTCTGGTTTCCAGCTTCCAAAATGTTGCTGCCCTTGTTTTCTTTGATTTCAGTGTTAGCCTGCTAACAAAACAAAACAAAAAAACCCTTTATCATAATTTTAGTGGAGATTTTAGAAGGATTAAGATCAGATGAGTTTGTGGCATCTGCCATCTTAACTTTGCAACTCTCATTTTAAACTTTAAAAAGAGTAAATTGGTTGTGACAGCTTGATTTCCCCCTTCCTTATTATTTAATTTTGGATGCCTGTTAGCCCTGGGAGGGTGGAAGTCAGAGGGGAGTCTTGTGCTTGAAAACCAGAGTCAGTAAACCTTTCTCTGTAAAAGGCTTGGTGGTAAACATTTTCAGCATTTTGGGCCACATACGATTCTCTAACTGCAGTTGGCCCTCTGTGTCTGTGGGTTCAGCATCCATGAGTTTGCATCTATGAATTCAACCAACTGCAGATGGAAAATATTAGGGTAAAAAACAATAAAATATAACAGCACAATAATAAATACAAATAAGCAATAGAACATAACAACTATTGTTTGTTTGTTTTGTTTTTAATAGAGAATTCTTACTGTGTTAATCAGGCTGGTCTTGAACTCCTGGCCTCCAGTGATCCTCTTGCCTTGGCTTCCGGAATGTTGGGATTGTAGGCATGAGCCACTTTGTCTGGCCCAGCATAATACAACTATTTACATAACGTTTATATGGTATATAGTATTATTATAAGTAATCTAGAGGTGATTTAAAGTATGCAGGAGGATGTGCATAGGTTAGTTGTAATTACTGTGCCATTTTATATAAGGGACTTGAACATCCCAGGATTTTGGTAGGGAGGTTTCCTGGAACCAGTCCACCATAGACTCTGAGGGATGACTGTACTCAACTCTGCTGATGTAGTGTGAAAGCAGACAATACATAAATGTAGTGCATCTGTGTTCCAATAAAATTTTATTTACAATAATAGGGTGGGCTGGATTTGGCCACATGGGCATAGTTTGTGGACAGCTGTTTTAAAGCCTTTGGATATAGATGTTCAATTGATTAAAGACACGAGAGGAGGAGATGCTCCAGTTATCTGTAACCAGTGACCGTTAAGTGTGTACACTTATCAAACACTTAAAGTTTATACTAAATCAAAGTTCTTCCAGAAATAGGCTGGGCGTGGTGGCTTATGCCTGTAATCCCAGGATTTTGGAAGGCGGACGTGGGAGGATCACCTGAGGCCAGGAGTTTGAGACCAGCCCAGCCTGTCTCTACTAAAAATACAGAAATTAGCCAGGTGCAGTGGCGCACTCCTGTAGTCCCAGCTATTCAGGAGGCTGAGGCACGAGAATTGCTTGAGCTTGGGGGGCAGAGGTTGCAGTGAGCTGAGATTGTGCCATTGCACTCCAGGCAGCCTGGGTGACAGAGCAAGACACTGTCTCCCAAAAAAAAAAAAGCTTTCAGAAATTGTATGTATCATTTCTGAAGACTGAATTATGCTGGCAGAGTACAGTTGATTTTTTTCTGTACTTGCATGAAAATTAAGTCATTATTTGTCCCTGTGGAAAATTAATTTTTCAAATGCTGTTTAGACACAAAAGCAACTACATTTCTAATCCAAATGTTAAAATAAAAAATTTACACAGGAATTATACAATGATGTTTTACATTGACTTAGGAATCCTTATTTTCCTTTCTAATGCTAGATGTAATCTCATGTTCAATAATTAGATTTTTGGTGATTTTTTTTTTTTAAGATGAAATGGGAAGGATGCTATCTTATTAATTTTTAACCTTCTCTTTGAATGGTGCTATCATCTTGGCTTTGTTCTAAACAAGAGCTAGACTCAGAAGTCTTCACTTTATTCTTTCTCACCTCCACTGTGAAGTAAAGAAAAGGAAACTCCAAAGATAGTATAGGCTAGTATTGTTGCTCCACAGCCATAAGGGATCCAGGACTCTTCTGTTTTCCTAACTCCTTTTTCTTTAGCTGGTGGCTTTCATTCTCTAGGATGCCTCCTGGTCCAGTGTGGCTGCTGGAGCTTGAGCCATCACATTCATATTCTAAGTGGGAGGGGGAGAGGGATTAAGATAAAGGCTTCCCAGCTATCTACCATCCTGTTAAGGATACTTCCTCAAAGAAATACAGCATTTCTGCTTTTTTATCTTGCTGTCAAAATAGTGTAGCTAAAGGTAGGCTAGGAAATGTAGACTTTTAGCTTGGTGTGTTGCCATCTCATATAAAATGAGAATGTTGTTACTAAGAAGGAAAAGTAAAATCAGTAGATATTCGGTTGAATGCACGTACTTGTTGACATCACATTCCCCAAAAACCTGCAAAACCAATTTTATAAAGCTTCAAAAGTATAAACTTTACATTTGACCAGATGCTTTTAATGAAAGTGTAAGCACTTCCAGTGTGTACTTGTTTACATATGAAGTTAGAAAACGGAATTACCTTTTGAATTTCCTATTTCATGTCTTTGAAAGAGATACTAATTTTGAAAATGAATTTTAAGTTTTTCTGTAACTTTTTTTGGTAATTGGTACATTTGAACCTTGGTGTGATACTATGATATTATAGCAAAGAACAGTCTGAACTTGATCAAGATTTGGATGATGTTGAAGAAGTAGAAGAAGAGGAAACTGGTGAAGAAACAAAACTCAAAGGTATTACTTTAAATTACTTCAGGAGCCAGTGATTGCTGGCACATGTCTACTAGAGGGTAGTTATAAGTACCAGTCTATTTTTTTGGACCCTTGCTCATTGTCCCATTTATCTACTGGTCCATACTTCTAGTGTGTGTGTGTGTGTGTGTGTGTGTGTGTGTGTGTGTGTGTGTAAGGGGCGGGTAGGTATAGATACAGCAACTCAATTAGAAGTCATTGTTTGCATCCTGCACTGTTGGAGTGACTTGGTGTACTTGTGTCAAACAGCTGCCCATGAGTTTTGTCTGAATTTAGAAATGTTACAGGTTGTGATGTGGTGCTTATAACAGTATGTTTAGTGTTTAATATATGGAGAACATGTAGTGTGTGTCTTTTTAAAGATCCACTCCTTCAAGCAGAAGAGCCATTTATTAAATGTAGGTAATATTCACAATTTATTTTAGCAGATATTTTTAAAAGGAGTGGTGGTGGGGGATTGTACTACTTAGGGTATGTCTTGTAGATCTGCGCCAAGAATATTAAGGTACCAGATGACTCAGCTTTTCATTTTTAAGCCGGATGGAAGTTAATTGTGAAAAGACTTCAGAACTTGTATTAATAGCTTCAGCTTTTGTTTAGTAACATTTTCTTAACAGATACAGAACTGTATCCTCAGTGACCAATATTGATATTTAAAAATCTGTATTGGTTATCCTGGCTGTGTGTACATCATCTAGTAATTGAATTATTATCAGAAGTAAATTGACCTCAAAAAAAGTAATTGGGAAAATTAAGTTTATGGCACTTTGTGTAATAACTGTATTGATGATGAAGAGAAGGTTAGTACTGTAATTTGTTTTGTATAAGTCTAGTGCATATTTGGATTGAGTATGTTTTTAAAAAGCCATTGAAAACCACATTTTGTTTGGCTTTAGTTACAGTCTTTGACTGTCCCAACTATTAACTTTATTAACTTTATTCATACACATAGAAATACATTACACAAGCATCAAACATAAACATTCAGATCACTCACTTCATCTTTCTCCTGGGCCTAAAACTGTCAGTATATTTGCAGTTTTCTGATATGTGTTGTCTGCATTCAGAGGACTGTCAAGAGTCATAGATAGGCATCTGAATGAAGCTTTGAGCTTCTTAAAATGCAAGGTGGGTGAAACACAGGATACCAGGAAGAGAAAGGATATTGTTCATATAGTTGTGGCAGTGGCCTTGAGAACTGTCTTGACTAGAGATAGATTAGGAATCTGAATTATTCCTGAACATTGGGTTTTCCTTTAGTGTATTCTCTTTAGCTTTCCCTGCCCGTCTCTACTCATTAGATATACCAGCAATTTATGGGCCAGTTAGGAAAACTTCATGAGATTGGATTGTCCTATTAAAAAAGCATAATACATTTTCATAAAATCCTTCTTTCGATGCCCTTTTTTTTTTAAAGCACGTCAGCTAACTGTTCAGATGATGCAAAATCCTCAGATTCTTGCAGCCCTTCAAGAAAGACTTGATGGTCTGGTAGAAACACCAACAGGATACATTGAAAGGTACAGCTTTTCCATAGTCCTTATTTATCTTTCTATAATCAACGTTGCAGGCGTATCTATTTTTAAGACCATCTAGGATTTAGATATGCAATAGTGGAAACCTATTGTCTGTTAGTATCCAGTATAGGATTATTAGAAGTTTAAAATTGTGCTTAGTACCACCTGTTTGCATTGGTCTTTTAAAGTTTATTTATTGTGGTTCAAGTTTATAGGAAGTGTACTGATCTTGAGCATTTCAGAGATTTGTTTAGAGGTATGTTAGAAATGCACAGAATTAGAAGAAATACAGATTTCTTATTTCACTGATGACATAAATCATTATTAATAGCATGAATATCTTACTCAGCTTACACATTTAAAAAACTTTTTTGTGATTTTAAGATCCATTCAGTTACTGTCTATATGTTAATTATAGTTAGTAGCTTCTAAATGTTGCCTAGTTCTCTGTGGTATGTGTTCGCTGTGTTTTATTATCTGCTTTTCCTATGATGGACTTATTTATCAACACAAATTCTATTGTTATAGACATCTTTGTACATGTCCTGTAAAGGAACTGTGTGAGAATTTCTTTGAGATGTGTGCTCAGCAGTGGGATTGCCACCTACATAGAGTGTGGAAGCCTTTAAGTATTAAACTTCTAGCATGATTTCCAGAAATACTGTACTCAATGCAAGAAGATAGATTCATCTTCATGTCTGCCAACAATTGGCACCATCCAGCTTCATAGTGTTTTTGTTTTTATTTTTAAATCAGTCTAAGAGGTGTGGACTCATTTTGTCTTATTTGTATTTTATGATTTCTAATGAGTTTTTAGCTTTTCTACATAATGCTTGAACCTTTTTCGTTGCCCATTGGTACCCTTTTTCCACTTTCTTGTTGGGATTGCAACTTTTTTTTAATGCTTTGCAAAAGTCTTTGTATTCCAAATGTTATTCCCTTGTCAGTTTTTAGACATTCTAAATAATGTGTCATTTCTACAAATTTATCCATGGAGTCCTCTGGTAAACAGTTAAGTTTTATTTTAGTAAAATATTTTGCCCTAGGGCTTGTACTTTTGAAACTTTTTAAGAAGTCCCTCCTGGTTTCTGCTACATTTCGTATTGAATAGTTTCACCTTTTACATTTAGGTCTTAAATCCCTTTAGAGTCTACCTTTGTATTAGTTGTACGTAGGCTTCCAGTTCCTTTTTTTTCTGCCTCATTTTTTGAGCCAGGTTTGTTTGTTTGTTTGTTTATTTATTTATTTATTTATTTATTTATTTATTTATTTATTTTGGGTCCTCCTCCAGTGACATGAGCTAGTTTTTTTTTTTTTTTTAAACACTATTCACTAATCAATCCATTGTTCCCCCATTTAGGTGTACCACCTACCTTCATTGCATATCAAGTTGTAAACACCCGTGTTTGTCTTTGAGCAGCACTCTTATGTTTTATTGGTCTTTGTCTCTTGTCATTGTCATACTTAATTACTATGACTTTATAGTTGTCTTAATATTTGGCAGGGCAGGTTGCATCCTTTCATACTTCTCCCCCAATCATCCACATTTTTGACAGTTAAGTTTACCAGGGTTGTCAACAAGCAAAAAAACCTTAAAACGTTGATAGGAATTATATTGCATTTGTAGATTTACAGAATTATATCTTTTAATATTGTCTCATCCACATACTTCTAATTATTCAGGTCACATTCTGTGTCTTTAGTTTCAAAGTTATCCTCATAGAGTCTATTGGTTAAGTTAATTTCTGTATATTTTGTGTGGCTGTTGTGAATAGCATCTTTTTTGTATTTTCTGTTTGGCTGTTCTTGATTTACAGAGGATTGCTGTTTTTTTTTTTTTTAAGTTGCTCTTGTATCCAGTAACTTTGCTAAATTTATTGTAGTAATGTGTTCTGTTTTGCCCCCCAGTCACAAGATTTTATCTGCAAATAATGGCAGTTTTAGCTCTGTTCTTCCACATTACATTATACCACATACTTTTCTTTACAACATTACCAGGACTTTCACTACTGTGTTAAACATTAGTATTCTTTGTCTTATTTCTATTCATACTGGGAATGAATATAAAATCTCCATTAAATTCAGTGCCTATTTACTGTTTTTTAATCTGACCTTTGGTTTTTTTTTTTAACTGTATCAATTAAGATGCTCTATTGAACTTTTCCCTTCAGTATATTAAGTAAATAGTAAATACATGTTTTGGAAATACTTATTTTGGATATCAAACTAGCCTTGCATTCCTGTAGTAAATTGAATCATGATGTGTTATTGTTACATTGTTGAGTAATTGAATTTTACAGTTCTTACTTGTTAGTGAAATGAGCTTGTGTTGTGTGCATGCATGTATGTATGTGCATAAAGAAAGTTTCAGGAAGTGGTAATATTTAACTGGTTTTTGGAGTCAAGATTTCAATTGCCTAAGGAATGGAGCAGCTTTTAAAATTTTTCGTTTCCTGAAACAACTTGCATAAGATAGCAATTAGCAGTTCTTAGGGTAGAACTCTTCTAAAAATTTACTTTGGGACTTTGGAGTTGGGGAAGTAGAGGTCCAGGGGAGTTTTGGAGAATTTTTTTTTTTTTAAACATACTAATTTATTCAAGTTCTCTCATCAGTTTTGGAGTTTCATATTTTAAACATGTACATATTTAGGTTTAAAATTGATTAGTACATAGTTTACAATAGTTTTAAAAATCTGGTTTTCATATTCTGTATTTTGCATCTTAATTCTGCTGGTTGTCTTGATCTTATTAAGTTTTTAGAATATTAATTTTGCTTTTGGTTTTCCTTTTCCATACTGTCTTTTGTTACTGCTGCTGTTATCTCTTTTTTAGGATTGCTCTATGTTATTCTTTCCAGTTTTTTAAATTGAATGCTTAATTCATTTGATTTTTATTTTTTAATTTGTGTTTTTTATGGCCTTAATACTCTTACTTTTGTAAATGTTGAGTGTGAAGATCTGTATGCTGAAATTAATAGCTCAAGCTTATTGTATTGTTCAGCTTCTCTTTATTTCTGCTTATTGGTTGTCTGTTTGACCTGACAGTTTTTTCTGTCATTTGTAGATTGAAATATTTTGGAGCCATATTAGGTGTATGATATTTGTGATGAACATTTCTTGTTCTCTTGTTTCATTTTACTGATATGTGTCTTCCTTTGTGTTTTATAATGTTTTTTGGGGGGGTCATAATTTTTATTTGTCTGATATTACAATAATAACCCCCAGCTTTTATGACAAGGCCTTACTCTGTGATCCACTCTGGAGTACAGTGGCACACTCATGGCTCACTGTGATCCTCCCACCTCAGCCTCCCAAGTAGCTGGGAGCCACAGGTACATATCATCATGCCTGGCTGTTATTTTTGTAGAGATGGGGGTCTCCCTATGTTGCCCAGACTGGTCTCGAACTGTTGGGCCCACCTTGGTCTTCCAAAGCGCTGGGAATACAGGCATAAGCCATCACCCCCAGCCTCTTTTTTTTTTTTTTTTTTTTTAAACTTTTAACCTAGTATGTCTTTTTTTTCCATCTTTTCATCTGTGTGTCTTCCTCTAGTATCAGTGTTTGCTGCTTTTATTTTTTGGATACAGTGTCTCGCTTTGTCATCCAGGCTGGAGTGCCATGGCACAATGACGGCTCACTGCAGCCTCATCCTTCGGCTCAAGTGATTCTCCTGCCTCAGCCTCCCAAGTAGCTGGGACTATAGGCATGCACAACCATGCCTGGCTAATTTTTGTATTTTTGTAGAGATGGGGTTTTGCCATGTTGCCTGGGCTAGTCTCGAACTCCCGAGTTAAAGTGATTCACCTGCCTGGGCTCCCCAGAGTGCTGGGATTACAGGCATGAGCCACCACACTCGGCCTCAATGTTTGCTTCTTTATTATTAGTTGCATTTCTTAGAAGTTGTATTGTTTTTGGATTTATTGCTGCCATCTTTCTCTATTTTTTAATTTATTTTACTTTGGGTCTTTCTTCCTTCTTTTCTGCTTCCCATTGGATAGATCAAGTCGCCTTCTGGTTCCAAAGTTAATGGCATTGATTTTTGTTACTATGGTAGTGGCTTATAACCTAATATCTAAGTTTATTTACCCCTGTTGATTTCTTAAATTTACCAATATTTATATTGTTCATAAATGTGCTTTCTCTGGCCCTCTATTTTTCCCTTCAAGGAAAGAAATTTACCAAGATATTTGACCACACCCATACCTTAAATAGAATCTGCTGGATTTTTAAAAAATTTTCCTCAAAAGTTGCTTTTAGTAATATATAGTGAGTATCTGTGGCAAACCTGAAGCCTGGTATACCTGATATAATTTTTGTCCTGCTTTTATATCTGAATAATAGTTTGGTTATGAAATAGTAAATTCAGAGTTCTTAAAAACTACAATTTATTTTTTTCTTTATTTCAGTGTTTCTTTTAATGCCTGTTGTTAGTCTGATTCCTTTTTCTTTGTAGGTTATTCTTTCTCACTGGACACCTTTAGAATTTTCTTTTGTCTGTGATATTCATAAATCTCATTAACATGTCTAGGAAGCAGAGTAAGGATTTTTATATTGCTTTAATGCTGAGAAATGTATCATTCTCATATGTGAAGAGATCGTACCCCTTCTCTGTCAGCTATTGCTACTTTTGTCGTCCATATCTCAGAGCTTTTCTATTTTCCATCTGTCTTTCATGCTGCCTTCTGGTAGAACTTTTCAACATCATGGACTTTATCTTCAGTCGAATCTATCCTGTTTCTCTTATTTGTTGCCTATTTTAGTTATTGTATTTTTCATACTTAACATTCCCAGTCTGTTGTAGATTTCTTGGTCTTGTTGCATGTCAATCTTCCTCATCTCTAAGTATATTTACATTCTTGTTTAAATTCTCTAATTATGCTGCTTCAGATGATAATCATTTCATTCACTCTTTCATAGAAATTGTACCCTTGAAGTTTCTAGTTATTCTCTGAGCTCCAGCACATTAGGCAATACCAGTTACCCTAATAATGAATATTTGGGGAGAAATGAAGGTCTGTGACAAGGAGAAGGGCGCAGGGTGAGCCTAAGTAGTAGAGCACTAGTTGCCTTACACTGAAAGTTTGCTGCCAGTCCAGGCAATTTTTATGGTGTGCTTTGTAGGGTGGGGGACTAGTCTCCTTTGGTTGTCAATTCATCATTCCTAGATTGGATCAAATACATGTTTGAAGGCTTTGAACCGTGCAGCTTTCATCAACCCTCGCATTGGGCTCTTGTGAAGGGTGAAGATGACAGACAACGATTGTTGCAAGGCAGGAGCAGAACTTAAAAAGCTTTCTTGCGGAACTGCTATCTTCCAGTTTGTCCGCACTGCTACCTGCTGTGGCCATTCCCTCCCTAAGTTGTTGGTTACCCTGTACAGTTAAACACAACCTCCAGTCTTACCTGAAATTGCTTATGGTGTGTGTGTGCCTCAGTAGTTACTTCATTCTTGTTCTAAAGTTTCTGGGATTAGCTTTTTGGGGGAGCAAGAAAAGCCAGAAGCCCATGCCAGTTCACCACCTTGGCAGAATAGTGCTTTTCACTTAAAATTAACAGAAATAGAAAGTTGATATCTTCAAGTGTTTGTTTTTTATTTCTAATAATCTTAAGTAAACTGGTGGCTAAGTAAGTGAATTATTTGATTTACAAAAGTTTGTGGCAGGAAAGTTTAACCTGGATTTTGTATCTGTTGCACAGATTCCCTGAAGTTATTTAAATTTTAAGTGTGAACATTTATTGTTAGAGAGGTTTAATCATTCTTTAGGAGACTCATAACCTAGTGTGTATAACCTTTTAAAAATCAGTGCCCCCTGTTCACATTAGCAGACATGGAATCAACCTAAATGCCCATCAGTGACAGATCTGATACAGAAAATGTATACACCACGTAATACTTGCAGCCATACAAAGAACGAGATCATGTCTTTTGTGGGAACGTGGACGGAGCTAGAGGCTATTATCCTTAACAAACTAACACATGAACAGAGAACCAAATATCGTACATTCTTACTTACCAGTAGGAGCTAAATGATGAGAACTCATGAACACAAAGAAGGAAACAACAGACACTGGGGTTACTTGAGGGTGGAGTGTGGGAGGAGGGAGAGGAGCAGAAAATTAAGTATTGGGTACTGGGCTTAATACTTGGGTGATAAAATAATCTGTATAGCAAACCTTCACATACACCCCTAAACCTAAAATAAAATTTTAACAAAATAGTGCTTCACAGTTCATTGTATGGTGTATGAACTTTATCTCATCAAAGCTGTTATTTATTTTTGAGACAGGGTCTCATTCTGTCAGCCAGGCTGGAGTGCAGTGGTGGTGCAATCTTGCTCAATTCAGCCTCGACATCCCAGGCTCAGGTGATGCTCTCATCTTAGCCTTCCAAGTGGCTGGGACCACAGGCATGCACCACCACACCCAGCTAATTTTTGTATTTTTTGTAAGGACAGGGTTTTGTCATGTTGCCCAGGCTGGTCTTGAGTTTTTGGGCTAAAGGAATCCACCTGCCTCGGCTTCCCAAGGTGCTGGGACTACAGTTGTGAGCCATAGCACCTGGCCCTAAAGCTGTTATTTTAAAAATACATGTCTCCTCTTTATAGTATGTTACACTTGTATTTAATAATGTAATTACTAATTCCTAATTAAATATGGAGACTAAAAAAATAATGGTGTGTGGAATCTTGTCCTTTTTCCTGATATGTCTATGCTCCCCTCCTTTTTCCTAATAACTTGTATGGGTGAGATATATGTAAAAGAAAAATCCAAGTAATCATTGTTCTCAGAATTAAGATGGTCTGTCCATGACTTCAGCAATGACAAGTCCAACACTTAACTTGGGTAAAGATTTAGGGTTGACAATATGATTTACATTTTGTTTATCAATTTACCCAGTTACATTTCTACTTTTGAAATATAGCCAGTGGATCAATGTATTTATATCTATTTGATTTTTATTTACTTTGAATCTACCTTTTGCTTCAGATAAAAAACCTGTCATTCACTAACTCCAATGCTTCAGTTTCAGTATGACAAAAGAAGTGTGACTTCCATTTTACTCTGATGCTATATAACTGATTTCTAACCTTTCAGCCTGCCTAGGGTAGTTAAAAGACGAGTGAATGCTCTCAAAAACCTGCAAGTTAAATGTGCACAGATAGAAGCCAAATTCTATGAGGAAGTTCACGATCTTGAAAGGAAGTATGCTGTTCTCTATCAGCCTCTATTTGATAAGGTAATGCTTTCTCCTACTTTGTTTAATTTAACATTCTAGAAGACGAATTCTAGAAACATAAGCAGACTTGGAAGAGGTTAATCTTTAGAACTCTCATTGAAATTGTTATTAGAGGCAGCACTTGGAGGAACTATCAATAATAGCAGTTAAAGTTGTGGTATGCATTTGTTAAATTTGTAAGACTTCTTAGTGAGAAACCACTGGTTTTAGCTTGGATGCCAGTGTTTTTATACAGCCTTTTTTTTTTAAATCATTTTAGCGATTTGAAATTATTAATGCAATTTATGAACCTACGGAAGAAGAATGTGAATGGAAACCAGATGAAGAAGATGAGATTTCGGTTAGTACCAACTTTATTTTGGTATGTTTTTAAGATGATAAAATCTTAGGACTTGTCAGAAATGTTAGCATTTAATGATGGAGTACAATATTATATAACCAGTTGTATTTTTTCATTTTTTAATTTTACGTCTTTATTACACGTTTTTCTATTACTTTATTTTTAAAAAACAGTCATTCAAGATTGTAATTTGCATGGCAATAAGCAGCGGTTTCATGGGTTCTAAGTTTCTTAAGTGTCCACAGCAGTTTAAAACACCACAAGTCTTATTTCCAATTTGCAGCACCTGACTTAAAGTTCGAATTCATCTGATGGAGCATTAAAACTGTCATTTTCTCTTGTGAAAAGACATAATTGCTATTTCCAGGACTGTATATTGAACATGGTTGTACATTATTTTTAATTGGTTAGTAGAATTTTACTCATGTAATTTATATCCAGAATAAGAACCTCTAGCATCTCTGAATGGCCTTCCTCTCAGAACGATGATGATTAAATGTCTAAAATGTATCTGGGGTGCCCCCACTTGACATTACCAAACATGTTTCCAAATAATCTTAGAAAATATGATTCTTTAAACATATGCATACCACATCTTTAAACATAAACATACCACACAGTGCACCATCACTTCCTTAACCATTTTCCAATTGTTCACTTATAACATTTGCAATTTTTTATTATAAATCATATTGTGATGAATACTTTCATCCATAAGTTTTATTGCAAGGCTTATTGTTTCTTCTAATGTCTTCTAATTTCAAAGAAGTGGCTTACTGGTTCAAACAGTGCACATACGTGGTTTTAAGGCTTTTAGTATACTTTACCAAATAATCTCCAGAATAGCTCCAACAACTCCTACCAACAGTATGTTATTGTGCCCATAGGGTGGACTTGATAACAGCAAAGCAAATTCAACCACAGATATATTAGATTCTCACCCATCTCAAAACTATCACATCAGAGAAGCAAGGAGACATATTATTGGTGAGGAAGCCAAATTCAAATTCTTTTAAAAAATCACTCAGCTTTAGATCAGTAAAATAATCAACAAAAATGGTCACCGCAAAGTCTACCGGGTTTTTCAAAAAATAAAAAGAGAGAAAGAGAAAGGCCAGGCGCAGTGGCTCATGCCTGTAATCCCAGCACTTTGGGAGGCCTAGGTGGGCCAATCACTAGGTCAGGAGTTCGAGACCAGCCTGGCCAACATGGTGAAATCCCATCTCTACTAAAAATACAAAATATTAGCTGGGTGTGGAGGCGGGTGCCTCTAATCCCACCTACTCGGGAGGCTCAGGCAGGAGAATCACTTGAACTCGGGAAGTCGAGGTTGCAGTGAGCCGAGATCGCACCACTGCGCTCCAGCCCAGGCGACAGTGTGAGACTCCGTCTCAAAAAAAAAAAAAAAAAGTACCAAATAACCAAAATTTTTTATTTGACTAAATTCTGTTCATGTATGAGCATGACAGTCTCTCCTGTTTATTTGACTTTGGCAATAAAAAAATAAGCAGCCTTGTACAGAACAGGGAAAATGCCAAGAACGAAGGCAGTCTACAGTTTTACTGTAGAATACATATATATATATATATATATATATATATATGTAGGCCTCTCTCCCTTTGGCCATATCTACTGTCAGTTCAGGCCATTAACTACAGACAAATTTTCAAATTCACTTCTTCTCCAAGATCTTCGATGCTGTCATCATCTACTTCTGTCTGTTTTTCCTGAATGACCTCAATTATGTCATCTGTAAAGTCTCCTTGAATGATAATTTCATCCTCCTCTGTTACTGAGGCACCACAGGAGAATTTTTGAGCAAAAAATCTTTGTGTGATTTAAGATCAATTTCAAAAGTTACAAGGCCACAACCCTTGTCACATATTTCTTTGCTCTGGGAATTTTGGCTATAGTAACCTTTTGTGGTACCGTCTTTGTTTTTTTGTTTTATTTGACCCCTTCCACCTCTCTTCTGTTTTTTCTTCTCCTCTTCTTCCCCTGCTGTTCCTTGACCTTGACAGATTCCAGCTTCTTGTTTGGGTGAATTTTCCACAGTAAGTTTTGCATATTCATTTGGAAAATTCTTCTCTAATCATTGTCTACATTTAGCAACATCAGGCATATATTCACAGTACTCTATTGGTAATGAACAGACTCCACAATAAAGGACTCAAAGTAGGTAATCAGCATCTAACTTGGCTCTGTTCCTTGGGTCTCCTTTGCAGTCAGCCCTATTGGAATCGGAAACGTCAGCAGCCATTTCACAAACCCAGGCAGTTGCACAGGCCCCGCCAGCTCTGCTCCCGCCACTGTTGCCAGCTGAGCCGACAAATGCAACTCGTTTCCCCGGCCAGGGCCTCCCTAGAGCATCAGTTGTATTTTTATACCTAGGAAATATTTTTCCTTTTTGTAAGAATGATAATGCAGATGAACTGTTATTCAACCTGGCACCACCATCTGTACTCAAAAAGTCATTATTTCCTTACATTTTATAGTTTTTTTGTTTAAGAGACAGGGACTTGCTGTGTTGCCCAGGCTGGAGTACACTGGCATGATCTTGGCTCACTGCAGCTCATTCCTGGGCCCAAGCTATTCTCCCACCTCAGCCTCCCAAGTTGCTAGGACTATCTGAAGCTACTATGCCCAGCTTAATCTACTTTTTTTTGTAGAGGCAGAGTCTTCTTGCCTAGGCTGGTCTTAGACTCCTGGCTTCAAGCAATCTTCGCACCTCAGCCTCCCAAACTGTTGGGATTATGGGCTTGAACCACTGAGCCACTGTGCCCAGCCTATTTTTATAGTTTTTTTGAGTCTCTGTTGCCCAGGCTGGAGTGCAGTCTCGGCTTATTGCAACCTCCACCTCCTGGGTTCAAGCAATTCTTCTGCCTCCTTCTCCCAGTAACTGGATAACAGGCGTGCGCCACCATGCCTGACTAATTTTTTGTACTTTTAGTAAAGATGGGGTTTCGCCATGTTGGCCAGGCTGGTCTCCAACTCCTGACCTTAAATGATCCACCCACCTCACTTCCCAAAGTGCTGGGATTACAAGCGTGAGCCACTGCGCCTGGCTTACAGTTTTTAGTTTGTAGATTCATTATATTCTTTTTTTTTTTTTAACTTCATGGTAGGCTGAGGATTGTTGCCATTTTCAAGTGAAGACATGGAGGCTTCTAAGTGACTTGCCCACAATGAATAATGGCAGAGCTGTGACACACATTCAGTGCTGTGTTAAGTGTTCCACCTCTCTAGCATTGCTATTTTATGTTGTTTGGTAAAGAGAATATAATGTTTTGATTAAGAACACCATGGGGTGAGGCAATGGACCAAATTAGTATTTCTGTTGCTTTTCTTGTTTATTATGCTTAAGTCTTCATTTTTAATTAGTTTTTACATTTTTTTTTTACTAAAATGGTTTTTCCTACACATCTTGGTCACCTTAGTGGTTCTCTTTGGAGGGGTGTGGTAGCAGTAATTTTGATGGGATTAAGGTTTGTTATGGGCAACGGCGGTGTTTACACAGATAGACTAGAACTTTGAAGGTAATATCTGGTGACTGTGCTTTTTGGTTTTTATACCTTTGCTACTTTATCATGAGGTCTAATCTATGTATTAAATAATGTTTGCTGTCACTTAATCAAGGAGGAATTGAAAGAAAAGGCCAAGATTGAAGATGAGAAAAAAGATGAAGAAAAAGAAGACCCCAAAGGAATTCCTGAATTTTGGTTAACTGTTTTTAAGAATGTTGACTTGCTCAGTGATATGGTTCAGGTAATTTTATTCATAAATGTACCAGTTTACTTTGAAGGGTAAACCTTTGAAGTTTAAATGGCTGTGATCACTGTTCTCTTCAGTGTTGATCTTTCTAGAATGATTGCTTACTTTTGAAATAGCTAATATCTGTAGAAGAGAAATTACAGCTTTGATTAATGTAATCAAATAAATTAGTTTATTTTAAAAAATGAGATAATGAAATGGTCCCATTGATAATGGCTCATTATCGACTGGTGTTTTCTTATAACCCTGTGCCTTTTGTCTTTACATACTTAGTATGGAAGTATGATGGGAAAGTTAATCTTATAGCTGCAATTATGCAATTCCCTTAACTCTTCCAGGAGAAATTTGCATTTTAAAAGAATACCATAAAGATGTTAAACTCATTCACAATGGTTACATTCTCTGGCAAACCATAACTGTTGTCACCTTTGGGAAACTGCCTCAAGCATTTCTTGAGTGAGCCCCTACCGTCTACATTGTAGTAGTACATGTTGCCCTGTCTTGTCATTGTTGGAAGTTACATGGAGAAAAAGAAATGATCTTCACACAATTACTGCTTATTACAATTCTACTTTAGCAAAGTGGAAAAGGAACGACCAGGAGGAAGGGGACAAGCAGCTGGAAAAGGCAGCAATTACAATCAGGAAACATTTTAAAAGTAGATATGCCTTATTTAGACTTGATTTTGGATTTTTCAACCTATATAATAATTCAGTTGTCTATTTGGACACTTTTTCTCTACCAGTGGCAGTAGAACTACAGTATAAATTAGCTTTAGTATAAGCCATAACCTGGAGAGTAAGTCTTAAGGTTCATAATTGCTATACAAAACTACTTTGAAATATATTATGTCTCAGTCAGCTGGTGTTTGTGTAGTAACAGAACACAGTCCTCGAATGCCATGTTATTCATTTTTATTATTTTTTTAATTTGAAGGAACACGATGAACCTATTCTGAAGCACTTGAAAGATATTAAAGTGAAGTTCTCAGATGCTGGCCAGCCTATGGTAAAAGAACTTTGAAATATTTATAATTTTGTAACATGCTTACAGGTAGATAAATAGAAGCTTTTAAAAAGATAACATTCAAGGGTAAGGTTGGTGCTCTTTGTTATAGTGAATAAATATTTGGATGCTGCTAATTGTGAGGCAGTATTTATTCCTTTTCCTCCTTCTGATCATAAATTGTGTTTGAAACACAGACAATCCTTGTTCCTGGATAAGTGGATAAAAATAATGCCAAGGGAACATGAATAAGTACTTTTTCTGCATTAAAAGGCATGAGCTTGGGAATTACACAAAACTGATGTTAGAGGATGCCCACTCCCTAATGAGGAAAGATCAGCCAACAAGCTGTCCACCAAACCACCAGAATTAATGTCAACTAAGGGCAAAACTGCTAAGAATATAGGCTGTAGATGCTTAAGGTTGGGCTTTTTCTGTGTCAAGTTCACGTTTAGTCTACTATTTAAAAGCCTGATTCCTCCAGTAGTTGGGGAGTAAGGGAGGCAACATGGTCACTTTATTCAGGAATGCCTAGCCTGTTGTGTAAACATGTTAATTATTTAATAGATGTAAATTGAAACTAAGTTCTATTCAGTTCAATTTGTACCTCATTATTATTTTAACGTAATTTTTTTGATTTTAACATAATTTGGGGCTCATCTGACAGTCTGTCCCATTCTTAAATATTTCATGGCTGGGTGCAGTGGCTCACACCTGTAATCCCAGCACTTTGGGAGGCCGAGGTGGGTGGATCACTTGAGGTCCGGAGGTCAATACCAGCCTGTCCAACGTGGTGAAACACTGTCTGTACTAAAAATACAAAAATTAACTGGGTGTGGTGGCACACACCTATAATCCCAGATAATTGGCAGGCTGGCGCACCAGAATCACTTGAATCTGGGAGGCAAAGGTTGCAGTGAGCTGAAATTGTGCCCCTGCACTCCGGCCTGGGCAACAATGCAAGACTCAGTCTCAAAAAGAAGATTGTATTTCAGAGTAGAAAAAAAAATTATCATTTAGAATATTTATAAAAACAGATGAAGCTGTGTTTACTAAAGTACTGAAATATGTGAGGTAGGTATTTAACTGATTTTTATGCTTCCTCTCCCCAGAGTTTTGTCTTAGAATTTCACTTTGAACCCAATGAATATTTTACAAATGAAGTGCTGACAAAGACATACAGGATGAGGTCAGAACCAGATGATTCTGATCCCTTTTCTTTTGATGGACCAGAAATTATGGGTTGTACAGGGTGAGTTTAATTTTACTACCTTAACAAAATGTTTTTTCTGTTTTTGTTATACTTGATTTGTATACTCGGTTATTTTCAGTTACATATGTACATAGTCTGTCTCTGAACATTTTGGTAATATGTTTTCTGAAAAGTGCTTATCAAGTTTCCTGTAATTCTCCTTGGACCCATGACTGTCTCACATATATTTTTGCAGAGGAATGCTTCTTTAAATTATACTATGTGTTTGTGCTAATTGTAAATGTGTTTATTTTAAATATTTGCTTAGAAATAAAATTTTTCCCTTTATACTGCTATAGAAAACATTTGAAGCAATTCACCCTTCTAAAATTTGAAATCTAAATAGAACATTTACTTCTAAAAGTTTAGCAGTTGAAAGATTGTCAATTGTAATAGATTTTTCTTCTTTGTTTTGCAAGGTGCCAGATAGATTGGAAAAAAGGAAAGAATGTCACTTTGAAAACTATTAAGAAGAAGCAGAAACACAAGGGACGTGGGACAGTTCGTACTGTGACTAAAACAGTTTCCAATGACTCTTTCTTTAACTTTTTTGCCCCTCCTGAAGGTAAATAATGTTTTAGCTTGAGTATTAACGGTTGTTTTATAAAAAGCATTGCTTAGCTTCTTATTCATTGTAATTTCTTTTCTCAATTTTGCAGTTCCTGAGAGTGGAGATCTGGTAAGTTGAATTGTTATATATTTATTGAATTGTTAAGTATATTTGAAATTAAAGCACTGAATTTCAAAAATGGAGAGTGGGATGGTTGTTACATTGAGTTCTGAGGCCTACAATGCATGGGGCAGACTTTTTGGATATGAAAAATAATTCCATTCAAAATTATATCAGTGCTTCTGCTGAGAAACACTGAGATAAAAAGCTTAAGGTTTTCTTTTCTTTTGAAACTTCACATATTGCTGTGAGGGATTTAACTTTTCAAAACTGTTGTCTTCCTTAGTAAAACCAGAATATATTAAGTCACTTATACTGTTACATTCCTAACTACATTATGGTTCAAATTCATTCCTGAATTTGTTACTCCAATGTAAATATGGTTTCATATTGTGACTAAGTATGTTCACATATATGGCATATGGCAAAGAACATGAAATGTTCCTGCCATATAGACTGAACTGAGGAACAACCTTAAAGAAAGTCTATACACACAAGGTAGGGCAGGTATGTTTTGAATTTGGTTTTCTTTTGGGCATGTTTTTGAATTTAAATTAACTGAGATAGTTTAAATAGTTTGTACATATATGGAATTAGAAATTAACCTAAACTGAATACTTTTGAATTGGAATACTCTTGGCTAAGACTTAGAACAAATTTGTAAAAGGCAAAAGTAAGTATTTCTGGCTTGGCTTATAGGACAAAAAAAGAGAACATAAAGCAGTGTGAATTTCAGGTGAGAAAAACTACTTTAAGTATTAAGATAGAGCATCACACTATTTTCATATCAGTGGATGGGTTGGAGTTTGTGTTCAAGTTTGGGGTTTTTTTTTGTTTGTTTGTTTGTTTGTTACTAAATATTGATGATGACAAAACAGTCTAGTTAAGGATAGAAAACCTCCACCTGTGGTTTGAATTCCTCCCCACCCCCTTTTGGATTTTTCTATTTATTAGATTATGTTGTTGACTCAAACATTCATGGAATTCACAGAGGGTGTGCTCATTGTTTAGTATCATAGAACTTGTATCATTGTTTAGTATCATAGAAGTGGGATTATTTTATTTTATTATTATTATTTTTTTTTTGAGATGAAGTATTGCTCTGTCATCCAGGCTGGAGTGCAGTGGTGCGATCTCCACTCACCACAACCTCTGCCTCCCGGGTTCAAGCAATTCTCCTGCCTCAGCCTCCCGAGTAGCTGGGATTACAGGCACGTGCCATTGAACTCGCTAATTTTTGTATTTTTAGTAGAGACGGGGTTTCACCATGTTGGCCAGGCTGGTCTTGAACTCCTGACCTCAGGTAATCTGCCTGCCTTGGCCTCCCAAAGTCCTGGGATTACAGGCATGAGCCAGGCCAAAGTGGGATTATTTTAATTGTGAATAATGTCAGACCCACTTTTGCCCTGTGCTTTTCTATTAAATAGAAATCCTAAGCCAGGTACAGCTTCAGGCACCTGTAGTCCCAGCTGCTCTGGTGGCGGAGGTGGAAGGATCACTTGAGGCCAGCCTGGGCAACATAGCGAGACCCTGTCTCTAAAAAAGAAAAGTGCTAGGGGCACCTGATTTAGTTAGTATATTGTCTTTCTGAACTAGGACTGTCTCATTTGGGATTAGTAGACTTAAAACTGTACAGCTGTTTGGGTACTGTCTTTTAGGAACTATAAAGTGATCCTCTGTGGTTGTTTATTATGTCCTTCTATTTGCTATGTACTTAACAATATTAACAATAACTATATATTAACAATAACCCAAGGGTTTTTTTTTTTATTTTTCTATTTGGTGTTTTCAATAATATTTTAAAAGGAAAATTGCGGACATGTAACAGTTGCTTTTATGTATTTATGTTTAAACCAGCAAAAACTAAGCAGTTCTAATTTTTATTCTTCACAATTTATCTTAGTATGCATACTGGCCTGCTAGCTTATTTTCTTTTTGTTAAAAACTTGGAAAAGTTATTAAGGAAATTTAAAAATGACAAATCATTTGTTAACATGGTGTGAGAAAAATCATGGAAAGTAAAAAGTAAAGTTGAGCATTTCTTCCCTTCATCATATAATTTAAACTGAAGAGTCTGTCTTTTTTTTTTTTTTTTTTCGGTTGCCCAGGCTAGAGTACACTGGTGTGATCACAGCTCATTTCAGCCTCAAGCTGCTGGGCTCCAGCAATCTTCCCACCTCAGCCTCTCAAGTAGCTGAGACTACAGGCGTGTGCCACCCTGCCCAGTTAATTGTTTATTTTTTGTACAAACGCAGGGGGCGTCTCACTATGTTGCTTAGGTTGCTCTTGAACTTCTGGGCTCAAGTGATCCTCCTACTTTGGCCTCCTGAAGTGTTGGGACTACAGTTGTGAGCCATCACACCCAGCCTCTAAGAGTCTTACATGTGCCAAATTAAGTAACACAGTTATTCCTAAATTTTCTGCTTTTGTTTTCCTTTAAAAATAGGATGATGATGCTGAAGCTATCCTTGCTGCAGACTTCGAAATTGGTCACTTTTTACGTGAGCGTATAATCCCAAGATCAGTGTTATATTTTACTGGAGAAGCTATTGAAGATGATGATGATGATGTAAGCGAATTTGAATCCTGCAAAGAAATAATTGGTTGAGGGTATAGTGGTCAGAATTGGTAATAGATTAGTTTAGTTTTTAAGAAGCAGGACATAATATAATTCAAAATTAGGCTAATTACTGATGTTCTGTATATAGCTTTTCTGGGTTTTAAGTATGTCTCCTTAGGATTTTTGGATTCATTTATCTTAGCTTTTAATTTTCTGCTAATAAGATTGTTCTGAGTTTATGAAACTTTTTTATGTTTGGTTAGTGCTATAGATCTATTATGCCCTTGCCTTGACTTCACAGAGCTAGGACTTTCTTTAGTGCACAAGAAAACATTTACTGGGAGGCATAGAATTTCTATTCAAGGTAGTATTGAATGATGGTTAGGTTAAGATTAGGTTGCATATAGATGTTTTGAATATGTTTATTGCTCAACGGCAATTGTTAGAGTAGGCTTTAGGTCCTTTTCGTACAGTGCATTCCACACTTAAGTGTAGGTGAGTAATATTTACAGTAATACTTGTCTGATCATCCACTTTATCCACATGATTGTACTCTGTTCTTTAATTTTATAAATTGGCAGTGAGCAGAGTGATTCTTGCAGCTACTATGTGTTTTAATTTATAATCAGCCCCTTGATAGGAAAGTAGGTTTTCTCTTTTTAGACACTAGTTTATACAGTGATAAATGTTACTGATGCTACTCTGAAATGTGTGTTACATTCACTCAACACTTAACGCTGTTTTTCCTTTTCAGTATGATGAAGAAGGTGAAGAAGCGGATGAGGTAATGTTTACCAAATGAGCAAATAATTCTCTGTGGTTAACACATTGAGAAGCAAATTGAATGACTTATGTATTCCTTTGCTATAATCATTCTGTGATTTGGGATAAAAACATTTTGGAAAACATGATTTTAGAATTCTACAGCCAAACAATGTATGTATAAGGTTTCAATAAATAAATTGCAAAACTCAGCAACATTTTTTTATTTCAAATAATTTTGTTCTGCTGCAGGGTTATCAGCTCTTTGAAGAAGTCAAAAGCTGCAGTAAACTTTTCCAACGTTGGCTGCAGTAACTATTTTCAATAAAAGCTGTCTGGATGTCTCAAGTTGTGTTGGGAAATTTTTCATATTAGAAGCTTTCAAATTAAATTGTATTATCATCAAAGTCTGTAATCATGAAAATCTGTTGATCCGTAGAGTAACTTGTATTAAATTTTCCCTACATTATGAGCCAGTTTACCTACTATGTACATACTTCATGGATGCATTTTGAACTTTAATATAGGAAGGGGAAGAAGAAGGAGATGAGGAAAATGATCCAGACTATGACCCAAAGGTGAGCAAAATTAGTGCTGCTTTCTATTAAATTTAAGATAGCTAAAGTAAGAGTTGGTGTTTTTGAATATCAAGTTTCTCTCCGTTAAAGTCTTTAATAAATAAAGCCTATTGACTGGATAACTTTGTTTTTTCAGTCCCACTGGCATTGTGAACAGTACACATAATTTCAGTGGACGTTTTTCTAAAAAACATTGTTTTTTGTTTGGACTTCGTGCTTTTTATAGTTTCAGGTACAGTGAACCCTAGGATTCTATTTTAATGGGACGATTTGTAACAGTTTTTAAGCATTAGAAAATAAAGGTTTTTAAAAGATCTGGTTGTAGGAGTGTTCGGGAACTGGGGAGCAGTGCAGTTTGTTAGATCCTTCCAACTACTCTTACTCAGTCCCTGAGAGTCCTAGTCTATTATTCCTGAGAATTTGTTATATTAGGATTAGCAAAAACAAAGCTGATTGGTAATATAACTAACATAAATTGCTTGGTAACTTTATTTTTTTAAGATTATGGTTTAGCGTGTGTCACATTTTATGGAGTTAATTCTACAGTGTAAAGTTTGAGCTTGATTTTAGCATTTCAGTGACTTGCTAATAAAATAAATAATTTACCACCATTGTCCTATACCATTTCTTTTGACAACAGTGAGCTACTGTTATAATTAAGGCAGTAATTACTATTGAGAAATTCACTGAAGCAGGTAGAAGAAGATAGATTGACTTGTTGTTTTCCTTTAACAGAAGGATCAAAACCCAGCAGAGTGCAAGCAGCAGTGAAGCAGGATGTATGTGGCCTTGAGGATAACCTGCACTGTAATAGCCTAAACACAACTCTTATTTACTTACAGCCTTATGTTTTTGTATTTTCTTGGTAGACTAGGTAATTTTTTTTTAAAGGACAGGAAACTGATATTTTAAAGACCAATTTGTTCTACCTAGCATTTTAACTAGTTTTTCTGCCAGCTATGTTGAATGCACAAATTCTGTCACGCATGTTCATTCATTGCTACATAATTTGGTTCTTCTGGAATATTTTTATGTAGCTCTTGGAGTACAGCTATGAAAATTAACAACTGTTAAAGGAAATACCTTTTTTTTTTTTTTGTAATTTTTTCCTTGAAGAACCAAAGTATTTTTTCAGCTGGTTGTTGAATAGGGTTAAGTCCGCTTGGATTAGCTGTGCCTTTCATTACTTTGTTACAGAAATGCAGTGACTTATACTAAGACAATTTATTGTTTAAAAAAAAAATTGGCAAGACAACTATATGGTTAAGAATTTCCAGTATGACCACACCCAATAACTGTTATTAGAGTGTTAATGGATTATTGTGTTTTAGGTGACATAGTTAACTGTAAAGTAACCTGACTCAGTATAGTTACTGGTACCACAGTGAGGTGAATAAAACGGGATTTTCAGAAGTTAGCCTGAATTTAACTGTATTTTTAAATTTAACCTCCATTAACTAAGCATCTTTTCTTTGTGGTAGGGTCTACCTTCTGCTTCCCTGGAAAGGATGAATTTACATCATTTGACAAGCCTATTTTCAAGTTATTTGTTGTTTGTTTGCTTGTTTTTGTTTTTGCAGCTAAAATAAAAATTTCAAATACAATTTTAGTTCTTACAAGATAATGTCTTAATTTTGTACCAATTCAGGTAGAAGTAGAGGCCTACCTTGAATTAAGGGTTATACTCAGTTTTTAACACATTGTTGAAGAAAAGGTACCAGCTTTGGAACGAGATGCTATACTAATAAGCAAGTGTAAAAAAAAAAAAAAAAGAGGAAGAAAATCTTAAGTGATTGATGCTGTTTTCTTTTAAAAAAAAAAAAAAAAATTCATTTTCTTTGGGTTAGAGCTAGAGAGAAGGCCCCAAGCTTCTATGGTTTCTTCTAATTCTTATTGCTTAAAGTATGAGTATGTCACTTACCCGTGCTTCTGTTTACTGTGTAATTAAAATGGGTAGTACTGTTTACCTAACTACCTCATGGATGTGTTAAGGCATATTGAGTTAAATCTCATATAATGTTTCTCAATCTTGTTAAAAGCTCAAAATTTTGGGCCTATTTGTAATGCCAGTGTGACACTAAGCATTTTGTTCACACCACGCTTTGATAACTAAACTGGAAAACAAAGGTGTTAAGTACCTCTGTTCTGGATCTGGGCAGTCAGCACTCTTTTTAGATCTTTGTGTGGCTCCTATTTTTATAGAAGTGGAGGGATGCACTATTTCACAAGGTCCAAGATTTGTTTTCAGATATTTTTGATGACTGTATTGTAAATACTACAGGGATAGCACTATAGTATTGTAGTCATGAGACTTAAAGTGGAAATAAGACTATTTTTGACAAAAGATGCCATTAAATTTCAGACTGTAGAGCCACATTTACAATACCTCAGGCTAATTACTGTTAATTTTGGGGTTGAACTTTTTTTTGACAGTGAGGGTGGATTATTGGATTGTCATTAGAGGAAGGTCTAGATTTCCTGCTCTTAATAAAATTACATTGAATTGATTTTTAGAGGTAATGAAAACTTCCTTTCTGAGAAGTTAGTGTTAAGGTCTTGGAATGTGAACACATTGTTTGTAGTGCTATCCATTCCTCTCCTGAGATTTTAACTTACTACTGGAAATCCTTAACCAATTATAATAGCTTTTTTTCTTTATTTTCAAAATGATTTCCTTTGCTTTGATTAGACACTATGTGCTTTTTTTTTTTAACCATAGTTCATCGAAATGCAGCTTTTTCTGAACTTCAAAGATAGAATCCCATTTTTAATGAACTGAAGTAGCAAAATCATCTTTTTCATTCTTTAGGAAATAGCTATTGCCAAAGTGAAGGTGTAGATAATACCTAGTCTTGTTACATAAAGGGGATGTGGTTTGCAGAAGAATTTTCTTTATAAAATTGAAGTTTTAAGGGACGTCAGTGTTTATGCCATTTTTCCAGTTCCAAAATGATTCCATTCCATTCTAGAAATTTGAAGTATGTAACCTGAAATCCTTAATAAAATTTGGATTTAATTTTATAAAATGTACTGGTGATATTTTGGGTGTTTTTTTTTAAATGAATGTATATACTTTTTTTTTGAAGAGTGGAGAGTAGTGATGTCTAGAGGGAGCTATTTTGTGCTGAGGCCACTATGTTCTGTAAATATATAATTTTAAGAGCAACCTCACAATCCCTGCTAAGTGGAGTTTATTATTTGAAGACTAAAATGGAATTCCATAGTTCCTGATAGGTTATATTCTGGGTTATTATTCTGAGTTATCTACAAACATTTTTGAGATTTGTCTTTACACTCTGATTGTAGTTTCCAGCAGCCCATGCACACTGCCAAGTAAGTCTCATTTTTTCCTGTTAGAAATGGTGAAATATCATATAATCACTTATAAAGAAAACTGATATGAAAAAATTTTAGAGTTGTTTGCTTTATGGTCACTCAAGTAGGGTAAGTGTTCCACAAATTCCACAAGTTGATAGTTTAACATGGATGTCTGAAAGCCACATATATAATTTCTTAGGATTCTTAAATTAGTAAATCTAGCTTACTGAAGCAGTATTAGCATCACTATTTTAGATTGCAAAAATACCTTAATTGTGTGGAACTGGCTTGTAGAGTGGTACTTAAGAAAAATGGGATTCTACCTCTATTTCTGTTTTAGCACACTTAATCAGGAAAGGATATATTAACTTTCATAAAAATATTTTTGTTGTGTGAATAGGTTAATGATATGGTAAGGCCCCTAAAATAACTGAATTAATTGTTTATTGTAATTGTAGGCCATTCCCATTATTAAAAATAAAGACAAAACTTGAAGTAACTGAAAATCTTATCGTGCTATGTAGAAATATTGAACTAATATTCAAATATTTGAATGCTTTGGTTTCAGGGATTGGTTTAAAATTGGAGTCCTTTTTTATGGGTTAGTCTTACAAAAATTTAAGCCTTTATATTTTTGACTTTAAATCAAAACAAATGTTATTTTAAATGTACAGAATAGATTGGTAGTGCAGAAGAGTGTAAGTTCTTCATAGGAGCTTTAGAAAAGAGAAATATGTGCTAATTCAGTTTTTTTTTAATCTGCACTGTACATATATACTTGGTAATTATGAGCTTGATTTTGTTTTTGGAAATATGTGTTCATAATTTAGGTAATTTGCTACTTAAAGCACTAAGTCTCTGATACCTGAAAAGTACATGTAAATGGTGATGGTGAAATAATACTGCAGTTAACTTAATAGATGTATACTGGTGATTTTTGTATGCTGGATTAAAACTCCAGATATTAAAATATAACCTGGATAAAAAGCCAAGTTCTTGGACTGATTGAGGATCACTTACATGACTTTACAGAAATGGAAACATCCTTGTTGGTATATGAAATTATTTTACTCAAGGATAAGTATTCATAAGAAATTTTGATTGATGTATATTTTCAAAAATACAGTATGCTTTGTATCTTGTGTTTCTTCCTTTTGACATCATATTGTCAGGTTTTCCAGTTTACAAAAATTAAGTTATTCACTAAAATCTTAGTACAGACAGTCCCTGACTTATAATGGTTTGACTTAAGACTTCAGCTTTATGAGTTTATTGGAGTATTAAACACATCTTCTACTTATGATATTTTTGACTTACAGTGGGCTTATTGAGGCCCGACCATGTCATCCTCAAGCCAAGAGTCTGAATAAAAGAAGAAATGGGGTATTTAGAAATAATAGATTACTGGCGGGAAATAAGTCAGTCTGGTTGTTTAATTTTCCTATGGGAAATTGGGCATTTTAAGTTTTGTGGATCCTAGAACAAACTGAGTTTTATTATTTTGAAACCCAGGATAAAATATTACATAAAAGCATTGCTTTTTAGTTTCTTACATGTTTTATCCATTTATTTTTATTTTTGAGATAGAGTCTTGCTCTGTTGCCCAGGCTGGAGTGCAGTGGCATGATCTCGGCTCACTACAGCTGTCATCTCCCGGGTTCAAGCGATTCTCGTGCCTCAGCATTCCAAGTAGTCGGGATTACAGGCGTGTGCCACTGAGCCCAGCTGATTTTTGTACTTTTAGTAGAGATGGGTTTTCACCATGTTGGCCAGGCTGGTCTCGACCTCCTGACCTCCAGTGATCCTCCCACCTCAGCCTCTCAAAGTGCTGGCCTCTCAAAAGTGCTGGGATTACAAGCATGAGCCACCACGCCCAGCCAGTTTCTTACATGTTTTAAACTTAAAGCCAAAAAGAAGGAACTAGGAATGTGTGATTAAACGTGAGTGCCAGAAGTCGACAGATCTCATATCCAGAGTTGAAGGTCTTATTCATAATTTTATCATTCATAATGTATTAGGCAATTGCGGCTCTGGTAAATTTCATGAGGTTGTAAAATAGTTGCTACCAGAAGGCTCAAAATTTGTATGAGCTTTTAGCTGAGATTTTGAGAATCTGTAGGAATTTGTGAAGTGAGAGGAAGAACCTCTGAACGGTGAGCAGTTCAGGTGGAGGAACAGGAGGAAATACAGGCAAAGGTCCCAGAACAGAACAATTGAGGCTACATTCAAGGAATTGAGATACCTGGAAATACAGGTAGAAATACAAGTGGCCAGTCCATAGAAAGTTTAGCTGTGGAAGTCCTCTTAATGGGTTTAAAACACTGGAACCACCTGTTACAAGAGTATTTCAAGTGAGGATGAGGATGACCATTCCATGTAGAAATTTTTTTTTTTTTTTTTTTTTCTGAGACAGGGTCTTACTTCATTTGCCCAGGTTGGAGTGTACTGCTGCAATCAGCCTCTCGAGTAGCTGGTATCACAGGCACGTGCCACCACGCCCAGCTAATTTTTACATTTGTTGAGAGGTGTTTCACCATGTTGGCCAGGCTGGTTTCGAACTCCTGGACTCAGGTAATCCACCCATCTTGGTCTCCCAAAGTGCTGGGATTACAGACGTTAGCCACTGCACCTGGCTGAAAGATAATTTTTAAAGGAAGACATGATTGATAGACCAAGTCAGCCATTTGAAGGTCAGAACATTTGAGGTAGGTGGGCCCCAGGGGCCAGTAAAGGCTTCAGGGTCATATATATGCAACTGAAAAAGTAAGTTAAATGACGTGGCAGCAGCAGTGAACAAGACGCTGTTAGCTGTTAAGATAATTTACTTAGCCAAGAACAAAAGCTTTATTTAAAAAAATTGCTGAATAAAGTTTTATCTGCAGTGAATCCCCTTAGTCAAACTCCAGATTGGTGTTTTGGGGTAACTTATCAATATTACAGCTTTCCTTCAACTCTGAAAATAGTTGAAAGAATTCCGGTATATTCTTTACTCTGATCAACATACTTTTTGGCTCAAAAAGTTTTCTAGTCTTACAGGCGTTTTCTATTTCAGCCCTGGAATGGGCCATTTCTCCAAGGATTGCTGGCTTCTTAGAATAGGGAGTATTACTTAGAAACTTAAGTCCAGTTGCTGAATATGCTCTTTACAGGGTATTTCTAGGGCCTTTCAGGTGAAAGAAAATTTGTACATGTATCATAAAAACTGAACGCACAGTGGATACTTTGAAGTTGAATCAAACAATGTTATTTTTCCTACTGCTACTGCCGTCCGTATTTGTAATTATTTTCAAATAAGTGGAATCAGTTGATCCAACTAGGAAAGTAGATGAGGTTGCTCTATAGGAATAAGAATCCATGAATAAAAATGGAGATCTAATTTTAGACTAAAACTTTTCAGCCCCTAAACAAATGTCTCTGCTACCAAATTTTAATGGATATGTGTGAGAATACAAGTAGTGTCTTTGGGTAGTGTCTTTAAACACAGGCTTTAGAGTCTGTCTACCACCTGTTGGTTCAGCATCAGTCTTTTCATCTGTATTGCGAAAGATCGTGGTGAACATTAATAAGGAAACAAAAGTACTTAGAGCCTATGAGCACTTCCTAAACATAAGAAAACCTAAAATTTGTGATTGGGATTACTTTTTAAATTGGTTTTAGAACTTTATTTCTGAACTAGTTGGGGTTTTCTTGGTTCAAAGGCAAAATTCCTCCTAGGTGTAAGGGATGCATTACTCAGTGTACATAAGAACACTGAGACTAAGACTGGATAATAAAATTAAACATATGCCTCGTTTTGAAGATTTTATGTGTAAAAAACAAAAAAAAAATTGACCTTAACCTAAAGTGAGCTAGGTTTGAAAATCTCATCTCATTCCTTTCTTGTTTTATTTTAATACATGTGTTTTCATATGCTGTTTACTTTCTTTGGCCTTTGGCAGAACCCAGAAATGATCTAGGGTAAAACGAAATGAGGTATCGCTATATATTTGGATTTCTCATGCTTCAGAATACCCAAATTGTCATTATTCAGGTTATCCCTTCTATCTCCCAACATTTACCTGGAGCCTTGACACTGGTGTGGATGTGACATGGGTGTCTGTCTTGAGATCAGATGTGATTTTAGACTTGGATTAGGCCAGTCAACAAAGTTTTATTTTTATTATCTTTGAGATGATTCTCACTATGTTGCCTGGACTAGTGTCTAACTCCTGGGCTCAAGTGGTTGTCTCACCTCAACCTCCTGAGGTGCTATGCTTACAAGTGGGAGCTGCCGCACTTAACTATGGATTTCAAAACTGGAGGCTGGAACTGTTGTCTTTGCTATTCATTTGGCTTGGTGAGTGGACTTAGCCACTTCACGGCAACTTGGAGATGAATAGCCCACTGTATTTAACCTGCATTTGCACTATTTCAGCTCTGCTTGGCTGCCTTTTCTTTTACTTCTGCCACTGGGCTTTTGTGCATGTGTTTTACTAGTTCAACATAGGATCTCCTTTTCATCAGTACCTACTCTTTGGTTCTATAAATCTGAACTGGTTTTGAACCAGTTCAAAATACTCTAGAAACACTTGCTTATTAATGAGTTTCCTAATTTCCAGCACTGTGCTTGGAACTTGGTAAGTGTACAGAAAAGTTTTGGATGTATAGGTCAGTTAGGATTTATCTAGACCCATTCAATGTACCAACCATAATCCTGTGTGGGACTGTGTAGCAAGTCGAATGATTGATTCTCAGTAGTTCAGTCTCTAAGGTCTTTTGTAGTTGTCATATTCCTGTAGATTGAGAAAACCAATGAAACAAAGCTGGATTGTGTATACAGTTAGCTCTTTCATAATGCAGGGGCTAGGGGCCCCAGCTTCCTTCAGTCAAATCTATGTATAAGCTGATTCCCCCAAAACTTGACAGCCTACTGTGGAAACTTTACCAATAAGTCATTTAACACACACTTTGTATGTTATGTGTATTATATACTGTAAAAAGTAAGCTAGAGAAAATGTTAAGCAATCGGAAATATATTATGGCCAGGTGTGGTGGCTCATGCCTGTAATCCCAACACTTTGGGAGGCTGAGGCGGGCCAGTGACTTGAGGTTACAAGTTCGAGACCAGCCTGGCTAATATGGAGAAACCCTGCCTCTACTAAAAATACAAAACTTAGCTGTAGGTGGTAGTGGTGTGTGCCTGTAGTCCAAGCTACTCAGGAGGCTGAGGCACAAGAATTGATTGAACTCTGGAGGTGGAGGTTGCAGTGAGCCCACAAGAATTGACTGAACTCGGGAGGTGGAGGTTGCAGTGAGCCGAGATAGTGCCACTGCACTCCAACCTGAGCAACAGAATGAAACTGTCTGTGTGTGTGTGTGTGTGTATGTATATGTATGTGTATGTATATTTACTCTCAGGTGGAACTGGATTATAACAGTCTCAATCCTCACTGCCTTCATGAATAGCTGAGGAGGAGGGGGGTCTTGCTGTCACAGGGGTAGTAGAGACAGAAGTAAACCTGTAAGTGGACCCTCTTAGTTCAAATTTGATATTCAAGAGTCAACTTAGTTGTTTTTTAAAGTCAAGGGAAGGCATATCAATAGTTGCAGTTACCTAGTACTGCATAACAAAACAACCTCCAAAACTTAATGGCTTAAAACAAGCAAAATTTTTCTGACTGGGCTTAGTTTGTTGCAGTCGTTTTCCAAAATGACCAAAGACATCAAAGCTTAAATTACATATTGTATGCCTGTTCAGGGAGAAAAACATATGCTTTTCCCCATCATTTTGGAATCTTTTACTTGAATTATAGCTGGACAATTGATTTCCAGCTATAATTCAAGCTATAACGTAGTGAACTCCCTCAGACAAAAATGTCAAGCTTGATTAGTAAAGGAACCTCAAGTGGTATGTATAAGGTGACCCTTAAGTACACGTGTTTTCAAAAGTTGGGTATAATGTAACTAGACTGAGAGGTTTCGAGAAAAACTTCATTGCTATTCCATGTATAGTTTTAAACTAGTGGGATTTCAGTTTACAGTATTAATCAGCAATTTGGGGAGAACTAAGTGTTCGTTTAACATTAAGATAATAAAAATAATGCCTTAATCATACTTGATTGAGAATATTAATTCCCTTTTTATGCATAAGGATGGAAGTTAAGTAACTTTAACAATGACACAGTTGAGTTGTGTTGGAGCCAGCATTTGGATGGCCCTACACTTTGCACTGCCTTGTAGATATTTCTGTCACACAACTAGTGGTTAAATAAGCATGTTCTTTAGGCTAGAGCTTTCAGAGATGAAATATTTTAGAGACCAGAGTTAATCTAGATTTCATTTTAAACAATATTCAGATAATCTTTCCTTTTTCTCTCCCCTGCCCTGAAGAGTTTGTATTTATTATAATGTTGTATAACACAGCCCCAATACAATGTGGCTTATATAGGTTTTTCTCTTAGGCTTAGACAGACTCTGGGACTGATATGGGAGCTTCATGGTTCTCAGGCAGACTTTCATTCTACTTTTTGTCTTTGGCAAGTTGGTTTATTATCAAGTGGTTGCTGGGGCTCTATACATCATGTCCAGGTTCAAGGTACAGGATGGGCTGAAGGAGGCTAAAGGCTACTGGCATCCAACCTCTCCTGTAAAAAGAAGAACCTATGGTTTATGCTCACAGTGCTAAAAGTAGGATAGTAAATAAAATAGAGCTGGGTGTGAATGCCAAGGGAGGTTAGGATGACAGCCACATTGGCCACATATGTCGAAATAAGTTGATTTAGAAAAGGATTATTTGATCAAGGATATCCTGGAACATAAAGCAAATAACTACATTTTAGAAATAAGTGAACAGGGCTAAGAAAAGTAATTTTCTTTAAATACGGCCCAAAAGGATTAATTATGATTGGAGTCCTGCTTTGCCCAAGGCTTTTTATTTCATTTTGCATGATAACCTTTCTCAGAACCATGCATGCACAAATTAGGTTGAGACAATGACTTAAAAGTGTAAATGAAATCTCATTAGAAACAAAAACTTTCTGGTTTCTGACATGTTTAAGGGGTGCTCATTGTTACTCAACAATGATTTACTTAGGTAGTTATTGTGATGGGGGCGGTTCTAATGGGATTTCTTTTTCTGGTAGGTTTAGTGGCAACATACAAGCTTGCCATAAACATTTCCTGGGTTTTATCTTCTTGTAAAAGTGTTATTCCACCTTTCTGAGTCTGGCTACCCCACAGAATTCTTTTATCCCTTTTACTCTTAGATTACCTTGTCTGTAATGAAACTTACCCTCTCTGAAGCCTGAGTTGTTCTTCTAAAGTAACACCACTACCACCTTCTTTATTCTCATGTTTTTGGGAGGAATTGTCTACACTCACTGCTATATGTCCTCTATCACCTAAGAAAGGTATTTGCCCATTACTGGATTTTTTTTTCTTACAGAGATCAATAGTGATCAAATTGAACAGCCTATGTCCTCAGGCTGTGTGTTTTGTGGCAATGGAAAAATGACAGCAAAAGAGGGAAATATCCTTGGAATTTAGTTCCTTAAATGGAGGTATTTGCCCAAGTGACTGTCAGTTACATATTTGAGTTGCAAACAACGGGTTGCATTTACCGGGTTTCAGAGTAGAAGCATACTTAGGAAAGGTGGTAGGTGTTCTTGGGCTCTTCAGTGGGGACAGAGGATTGCTTCCACTCTTAGTTACTGGGGTATCTTGTCACCCCAGAGACCCAGAGCCAGAATATCAACACTTTTGAGTGATTGCAGTTTTGTGACAACATAATACTGGTTCTCTCAGCCTCCTTCATTGGATTACCTTCCTCTCTGCTCCATTTCATCCAGTTCCATATTTTCGTTTGTCACTTCAAAGCTAATATTACCATAACAAGTTTACAAATAATCAGACTTCCTGGTTACTTGTTAATACTCAATAAGATAGCCTGCTTGCCCATTTTGAATAATATCAATACATTTCCAGACAAAACATTAGTCATTTCCCCTCAGTTTAAGTGCTGTCAATCAGCTCTCCGTTAGGTACAATGGCGAAAACACTCATCCAGGATCTTGGATATTTAGTGAAGTAGACGTGAAAATTGGATAACTACTCATCAGAGTTTGAAGTGATTAGGAAGGAATTAACTCAGCCAGAGGAAATCTGGGATTTGAATAGGGCTTTGAAGAATGAAAGGTTTACAGAGGATTTGGGAAGGTAAATTGGAGGCTGCGAGGACAAGGAGATGTATGACTGGCACTCGCTCAAGGTTGAGTGGAACGAGTCAAAATAAGTAGGACCCATTCTGTGGAGGGCTTGTCATGCAAGGGTAAGGAATTGGAATGTATACAATTGGAGGCGAATAGAAGTTTTCTGTCATGTTTTAAGAGTAAAACTGAAGGCCATGTGTATGAGTATGGATCAGGTGATTGGGCCACCCAAGAACTTAGATGAGAGAACTGAATTAGGCTGCTGGCAGAACAGAAAGGACGGAGACAGCTGATGGACGGTGCTTGGATCCACAATTGTGTTTGTACTACAGTTAAAAAAAAGCGCTAAGCACTCATTATAAAGCACTTGCTTTAAGCTGTTACACAGATTGGTCACTAGGAGGCATCAGTTCATCAACTACTAAGGCGAAAAGGAAGGCAGCTCTGGACACCCACCTAAGAAGTCTGGATAGTTCTGTGTTAATACTTAACGTTTTCAACTCAAGGACTTTTGGAAACTAGAATCTAGAATATTTCTTCTGAATAGTACTTCAAAGATGAAATAAGGCTAAGAAGTCTAAACTGCACTCTGTGAGACTATTTGTTTATTTATTTAATTATTTATTTTGAGACAGATTCTCGCTCTGTTGCCCAGGCTGGAGTGCAGTGGCGTGATCTTGGCTCACTGTAACCTTCACCTCCCTGGCTCAAGCAATTCTCCTGCCTCAGCCTCCCGAGTAGCTGGGATTACAGGCGCTGTGGGTTTTTTTTTTTTTTGTATTTTTAGTAGAGACGGGGTTTCACCATGTTGGCCAGACTTGTGTCGAGCTCCTGACCTCAGGCAATCCGCCTGCCTCAGCCTCCCAAAGTGTTGGGATTACAGGCGTGAGCCACCGCGCCCAGCCTTGGTTATCTTTTATACCCTGATGAGGGTAACGTGACATGTTCATAATTTACTGGGCTTTAACTTTTTCTTGAAAGATGTTTGACCTTTGGTCTATCCAAATCTTTAATAATGATCATTGTCATGAGTTTCTACTGTATATTGCAAATTGGTTTACAGATCAGAATTTTGTAATCATTATGAATTAAACACTTAATAACTTTCCAAGTTCTGTTACATGTCTTTAAGCCAGTATTGATTAATGGACTTTTAGTCAAGTGTTTGACTATGTAACTGCCAAGTAAGAAACTTACCAACTCAGTTCCATTACTGTGTTTCTCATGCTTCTAAATACTCTTACTAGAAAACAGTAGGATACTAGTTTATATAAACACCTCTCATGATATTAAATTGCATGTTGCTTGGGAAAAGGTTTGTGGGATTTATTTTAGATGTCTGACTATAAAAGCATTTAAGATTCAGAGAGGCCTAGCATGTAGTTATCCATTTAAAAAGTATACCAGAGATATGTTTGTAGGGCAAATTTCAAGTCCTTACATCTCAAGTTTTAAAAAGTAGGATGCATCATGAAAAATCTGTCAAAAGCATTTGAAAAAATTGATATTCTTTTTATGATGGGTATGGACTTCTAATTCAATTCAAGATTTCTACCTATGTTGAGCATCTACTTGGTATCAAGACTTTTTCTAGGTGATTGGGACACATCAGAAACAATGGTCCTTGCCCTCTTGAATAGCTTGCATACTATTCTAGTGGGAAGGGGAACAGAAATAAGCAATAGGTACAATAAATTATTGAGTAGCATGTTAGAAGATAATATATGCTATGGGAAAAATTAAGGGGAATTGAGTGGCTACCATTTGAGAGTGATCAGGATAGGCCTGTTGAGCCAAGACTTGAAGAAAGTGATGGAGATAACTTTGGGTGCTATGCTGAAAATAGATAACAAGGATAGAATCAGGGAGACAAGTTAGGAGGCCATCATAGTAATCCAGTGGGGGGATATGATGGTGATTTGGATCAGGGTGGTAATGAAGGAAGTGGACAGAATCCAGATGTAGTTGAAGGCCTAACCAGTAGGATTTCCTGACTAAATGTGTAGATTAAATATTGGGAGAGAAAAAAATTACTACAAGGCAGGCATGATTCTACACACTTGAAGGCCTGGGGCAAGAGTACAATGGAGATACCGTATGTTTAAATATTTAAAAGTACTGTTTAATGAAAATATGCCCAATGTGCCTGTCTTGACAAACTTTCATTAGAACTGGGAAGCCAGGTTTGTATTTATGCCAGAATATAACTTGCGGGCAGAGCTGACCCTCAGCCCATGAGCCACCTTCCTTTTCTTCCCACCCCGGCTCTGAACTGTATGGCAAGGGGCCTCCTGCACATTTACTTGGATGCCATAACCAGTATATTCGAACTGCCCTATCCCCCTAACACATCAGTGCATGCAATGATGATGTAATGCATTTCCTGGAACAGCTGGGGCTATTCTGGGCAGGGTATTTGGGGTCTTGAGTACCTAGAGTGTAGTGCAGAATGAGTATGCTCTCTAGATTGACATGTCATCTTGACTCTAAAGCACTCAATCCTAAAGCTCAGGGCCTTGGATAAGGGCCTTTCCTGGCCTGGTGTAAGGGCAGTACTGATCTACGGTTTTTAGTTTGAGCATCTGTACAGAGGATTGCTGTCAACTGAGAAAGGGGGCTGCAGGTAGAGTAGGTTAGAGTGAGGAAAATAGTTTGGGAGCTCATTCACATGTTTGATTTCTTAGACTACACAAGCCGTACTGTAGAGAAGTGTAAATGGAGAATTTTCAACTTATAGTAGCACTCACTGGCCTGGAATTGATAAAAACTGAAGGCTGTTTTTCACTATAGTTAATTCTAACCTATAAACTGGAGCAGTTCCATGTAGGAATTTGTTAAAACCTATTGTGTATGAATTACAGACTCCTCTGACCATCCGAGTGTTCTTTTTCAGTTTTTTTTTTTTTTTCCTATGACCTAAAATCCCCTCAGACTTAAACCTTTAGTGAACTACTCAGTAAATGGCTTTACTAGTAAGTGTTCCCTTGCCTGGTATGTTTATTATTTTTTAACTTCAGTGTTTTATTCTTCGGCAGTAAGCAGTTGGATATAAGTTGGGGGTATAAATTTGGGACTCTGGCATATAGATGTTATTAAAAGTGATGAGACTGGATATCAACAAGGGAATGAGTGTAGATAAAGAAGAGAGCCAAAGACAAAGACTTGGGGCATTCCAACATTAAAAGTTTGGAGAGAAGAGAAAGCACCTCATAGAGGAGACACTGGAGATGTAAAGGAAAACTGAGTGATGTCCTTGAAGCCAAGTGATAAACTTTATCCAAGAGAAGAAAATGAACTGTCCAGTGCTGCTGATAGATAACTTTATATTGCCAGCTGTAAAATGTACTTTCAATTAGCCATTTCAAATTTGTTTACCAAAGCAATGATTTTGTTGGCTAGTTTTCTAAACTTCAGTAACTTTTCAGTGACTTGTAGGTTTTCATTGCATATACAGCTGAATTTTTTTTTTTTTTTAAACAGGGTCTTGCTGCCACCCAGGCTTGTATAGTGGTGCGATCCTAGCTCCTGCAACCTTGAACTTCTGGGCTCAAACAGTCCTCCACCTCAGCCTCCCAAGTAGCTGGGGCTACATGGCGCATGCCACCACACCTGGCTAATTTTTTTTTTACATTTGTAGAGGGAGGCCTTGCCATGTAGCCCAGGTTGGTTTCAAACTCCTGGGCTCAAGGGATCCTCTCACCTCAGCCTCCTAGAGTGTTGGTATTACAGGTGTGAACCACCATGCCTGGCCCAAAAGTTGTTTTTTTTTTTTTTAAGTTATTTTCTGTAATGCATTTTCTGTGAATTTATTGTCTTAAAAATTGGCAAATATGGCCATTTTGACATATTTGCCAAATATGAGCATATGGCAACTATGCTCTTAATTTGTTAAGTCACCAACTGTTGGTGGTAACTGTTGAAATAACAAGAGCAAAGTTATCACCAATCTACGGGATCCTTACACTACTGATATTTTCAATAATGCACCGTAGTCAGACATTGTAGACTTAACCTCTGAGCTGCTCACAAAATTACTAAATCATTCTGAAATACGTAACTGCAAATTCTGGGCTTTAAAGTCTCTAGTTAAATGGGTGATTTTGAAAATTGGTGGCTGTTCAGACATTTTCAAATGAGAATAGAATGCATTTGTTTCAGACTGATAAACTGCAGAAGGTTAGATAACACCAAACACATTTGAGTTTCTCCTAAGAAAATGACTTGGGCCTCCAGATTACATCTCATTTTTTTTTTTTTTACCCTATCAAGTTTGTTTTTCCATATGAAATGTCTTTCCCAACTACACCTGCCCTTGGAGACTGTGAATAACAGACTTAAAGGAAGTATCCTTTCCAGATGAGCTGAAGAATGTCATCCTCTTAAAAGAATGAACAGCTGGTCATGTAGAAATTCTCTGGAATGCTCACTTGTCCTACAAAGGCAGGGGAGCAGAAAACATGTAGTTTTTTTGTTATTGGTATACATAATTGTAAATCTTCGAGATAATTTTACTAGAAGTCCACATAATTTTAATAATTGCCTTTCTCCTGAAAAGATTGCTAATAAATTAACAATGTGAAGGCTAGAAAGCTGGCCAAGCATAATCCGGTGGGACTCAGGATTGCTGGCTGGATTGTCCCGTTTGATCAGACATTGTTTCTTAGATGAATATTCAGGACGCCCTCGTGTATAAAAGTTGTCCTTTGTTCTGACTACCTTGGTATTAAGTTCGAATTTCTTACCATGACACACAAAGGATTCGATTCTTGCTTAGCTCTCTAAGCTCCTCTCACTTTCTCTTCCCCTCTTGAATTCTTTGCTCTTGCCACACAACTAGCAGATGAACTAATCTATCTGTTCCAACGTGGGCACAGTAGCAGCCGTAACTCTTACCTTGGCCCACTCTGACTTGTCCAGCCCTGGTTGAATTCTTCGTATCCCCGTGAGGGTCCGCACGTAGTTGGGGCTGTTTACTAAACGGATGAACTTCCCTACCGGGAGGCTAGGTCTCGGTTATGCCTTACTTCCCAGGAAGCGGCTTCTATAGGCATTGTTTAAATGTAGGAGTAGGAGGGAGCTGGGGGTATTGCATTCCCCAGGTCACAGATAAATGAGATTCCAAAACCAAGATCTGGCTAGGCCTTGGAAAGAGGGACCTGCGAGGCCGACCAGACGTTTGGAACTGCGCCTTGCAGTGTGGGATCTCAGCACCGGATATTACCCCGGTTTGTAGAGAGTTGAGTTACTGTTTTAAGAGACGTTGCAAACCGTACGGGTCAAGAAGAAAGCCGAAGACGGGTTAGCGCCTGCGGTCGGGGTCGAGAAAAGCAGGCGAGATGCGACCTGACGTGGGTCCGCCTCTCTCCACCCGTGGCAAGCCCGACAGTCGCACTATTGCTTTAACAATCGCCCTCTTTCCAAGAAGAGCTACTTAGTGACCGTGAGCGAATATGCGTGGGAAGACACGATGTCCTCTCGGCCTCTGTGCGCTCAGTTGTTTACCTAGGCGTCCGGGGGAGGCACACTCGCGGGACTCGCGGGACTCGGCCCCGGCCTCCCAGCTCGCCCAGGACACGACGCTGGTTCTGCGGGCTCTCGGAGCCCAGCGCGAATCCCCCGGGCTAATTCCCAAGAACCGAGAGGCAGCACTGCCTGGAGGCTGCCCCCGCCTCCGCGCCCCCGTCCTCACTTTCTGAGGCTGTTAGCAGAGAGTCCCGCGGGCCGGGGAGAAGCGGGACGCGGGGGATGGCCTCGCAGCGCCCTGTGAGCGTCGGCAGTAGTCAGGCAGCCAGGGCTCCTTGGGCGATCGCCCTGGGTAGAGGAGAGGAGTTTCCGGGGCTCGGGTCCGGGTCGCCTTCCAGGGGAACGAGCGCGGAAGCAAGTGGGCGGCGAGAGGCGGAGCAAGAGACGCTGGAGGGCGTGGACGCAGCGGGCTTTGGAAAGGCCCCAAGTTAATGAGGCGTGCGCCGGCTGCCGAGCGCCTCTTGGAGCTGGGCTTTCCCCCGCGGTGCGGGCGCCAGGAGCCGCCTTTTCCGCTGGGTGTCACTCGGGGGTGGGGAAGATGGCCCATTCAAAAGCGCCGCGAGGGGGCCCGGCCAGTGCCCTTCAGTGAGCGCTCGCAAGAGGACGGCAGAGGCCCGGCAGCTCGGAGCTCCGGGACCTTGTGGCGCATCAGGACGCGGCTGTCCCTCTGCCGGGACCCAGAGCCGCCGCCGCCGCTCTGCCTCCTGCGTGTTAGCCTCCTCTGCGCGCTCCGGGCAGGCGGCCGTGGGAGCCGCTGGGGCGAGGACGGCGCGAGGCTGCTGCTGCTGCCCCCGGCCCGCGCGGCTGGAAACGGAGAGGCCGAGCCAAGCGGCGGCCCCTCTTATGCTGGGAGGATGCTGGAGAGTAGCGGCTGCAAAGCGCTGAAGGAGGGCGTGCTGGAGAAGCGCAGCGACGGGTTGTTGCAGCTCTGGAAGAAAAAGTGTTGCATCCTCACCGAGGAAGGGCTGCTGCTTATCCCGCCCAAGCAGCTGCAACACCAGCAGCAGCAGCAGCAACAGCAGCAGCAGCAGCAGCAACAACAGCCCGGGCAGGGGCCGGCCGAGCCGTCCCAACCCAGTGGCCCCGCTGTCGCCAGCCTCGAGCCGCCGGTCAAGCTCAAGGAACTGCACTTCTCCAACATGAAGACCGTGGACTGTGTGGAGCGCAAGGGCAAGTACATGTACTTCACTGTGGTGATGGCAGAGGGCAAGGAGATCGACTTTCGGTGCCCGCAAGACCAGGGCTGGAACGCCGAGATCACGCTGCAGATGGTGCAGTACAAGAATCGTCAGGCCATCCTGGCGGTCAAATCCACGCGGCAGAAGCAGCAGCACCTGGTCCAGCAGCAGCCCCCCTCGCAGCCGCAGCCGCAGCCGCAGCTCCAGCCCCAACCCCAGCCTCAGCCTCAGCCGCAACCCCAGCCCCAATCACAACCCCAGCCTCAGCCCCAACCCAAGCCTCAGCCCCAGCAGCTCCACCCGTATCCGCATCCACATCCACATCCACACTCTCATCCTCACTCGCACCCACACCCTCACCCGCACCCGCATCCGCACCAAATACCGCACCCACACCCACAGCCGCACTCGCAGCCGCACGGGCACCGGCTTCTCCGCAGCACCTCCAACTCTGCCTGAAAGGGGCAGCTCCCGGGCAAGACAAGGTAAGGTCCCGGCACTCGCGCTCCCGAGGAGTGGGTCTCGGGGGTAGTGAGTTGGGAGGAGTAGGAAGCTTGTTCACAGGTTCGGCTCCTGTATGGAGAAATCAAAACTCATACCAAGTTTCTGGGGCAATGGAAGAAACAGAAACAAGCTGGGGCCAGGAGAGCTGGGCAGAGAGGGGAGGCTGGGGAGATCCGGGCCAGGCAGGGGGCCTCGCGGACCGCGCCCGCGCCCGCGCCCATCACGACCGTCCTTGTCCCGTGGTGCGTCCCCCAGCCCCACTTGACTATATGTTTGGGCAGTTGAGGGAAACACCACGGTGTCTTTCTGAGCCCGCTTTGTCAGGCGGACTGGCCCGAACAGAACTGGTCTCGGAGGGTTCTTAGCCACCTACTTCACTCGGTGTCATTTCTTTCCAGGTTTTGAGGACTTGAGGAAGTGGGACGAGCACATTTCTATTGTCTTCACTTGGATCAAAAGCAAAACAGTCTCTCCGCCCCGCACCAGATCAAGTAGTTTGGACATCACCCTACTGAAAACTTGCGATTCTTCTTAGTTTTCTGCATACTTTTCATCACGATGCAGGAAACGATTTCGAGTCAAGAAGACTTTTATTTATGAACCTTTGAAAGGATCGTCTTGTATGGTGAATTTTCTAGGAGCGATGATGTACTGTAATTTTATTTTAATGTATTTTGATTTATGATTATTTATTAGTTTTTTTTTAAATGCTTGTTCTAAGACATTTCTGAATGTAGACCATTTTCCAAAAAGGAAACTTTATTTTCAAAAACCTAATCCGTAGTAATTCCTAATCTTGGAGAATAAAAAAGGGCGGTGGAGGGGAAAACATTAAGAATTTATTCATTATTTCTCGAGTACTTTCAGAAAGTCTGACACTTTCATTGTTGTGCCAGCTGGTTGAAATTAAAACTCTGATATTACTTTTTTTGAGGATTTTTATTTTTGTTTTTGCTTAAACATATAGTTTGTCTAGAAGTTTAAAAAGCTAAAAGTTAAAAATGGTGTAATTATGAAAATCTAACACTCAAGATAGTTTCTAAAAGGAAATCAGTAGTTAAGGATACCTGATTTCAAAATATTTAAAGCATAACCTAACTGATGGTAGGATGATTGTATCTTGAATATGTGGTAGGGCCACATCTATTGTAGGAAAACCTTGCTTTTATCATCTGTGTGTAAAGGGCTTAATAAGGAGAAGAGGCCTTTTGACTGATTTGTGAGTATAAATGCATTTGCTGTTTCATTTCAAAAATGTTGTGGAGGAAAAGAGTACATTTAACTTGTATAAGAGAATATTTGTACTCCTGTCCAGGCTGCAGGACCTTTCTTCGAGAGCTTTGCACACTTGACTTGAACCACATTTTCTGATCCCTTTACTTTGTTTTAGAAGCACACTGAAAAATCTCGTTGTTTAAAGTACAATTTGTAAATATTTCAAAGGTCTAGGAGTCATAACTTTTGTTTTCATACTGAAAATGATGTTGATCAGAGAAACCAACTGTTTTGCTTTTCATTGCTCTGTGAGAAATTTGAGGATTCTGTTTTGCTGTTAGGTAAGCTAAACTCAGAAATTGAAAAGGAAAAGACTGGATAAACACAGGATTTTCAGTAAGAAAACAACCCCAGTCTTGTCTTAGAAGCCACTTGTTGAGGAGTCTGTTGGGGGAAAAAAGAGGATATGCTTTTAAAGGTAGAACAAACCTTCTTCTGTGTTAAATCAAAAGGATGTTCAAAATCCACCAGGACAGATGCTACTTGGGTTTAAATGGAGCCATAGATGATACAAAGTCCTCTTGGGGCTGAAAATCACTTCCTATTTGCATGGCTTTACTAACTGGTTTCTGTTTTCCATTATCTTTTTCACAGAAAGTCTTGGTCAGTATTTTTCCAGCATTTAAATTGAAACGGTCAGTATTAGACCACTGCTAGGTTATGTAGTCAAGAAATAAAAATAGAATTACATGCTACAGATGTCTTTATTCTCCTTCCATCTAGAAAGGAGTTCCAAGGTCAAATTACTTTTTAGTGCAATAGTTAAATGACATTTTGAGATCATAACTCATATCCAAAAAGTTGCAGGGAAAATTAAAATAGCTTTCCCCTATTAAGCTAATGGCAAACAAAACTTAAGTGGACCCCCACTTCCAGTGGTTGTTTAGGTTGCAGTTGTGAAAATATGCTGCCAACATTTAAAAACTTGTTTCATATGTATATATGTATACACATATATGAATATGTATGTATATATACATATATGAGAACATGTGTGTACACATATATGAATATGTATATATGTGTATGTATGTATATATGTATATGAAATGAGAGCCACATCTAAAGATTTCTTAAATCAAGTTTGGTTCAGCTTCCTTAGAACTGTGGCTGTACTTTTTGAGGAGTACCTCATAGTACTATATTTTTAATGCATGCAAATCATAATAGCTCCAAATGAACCACAGTTTTTTCCCAATGGAGGATTTTTTTTTAATTCTTGTACTAAAAAAAAAAAATCCATACCAAATATTTTTACAAATTAAGATTGATGTAGGTTTTAAAAAAGGCATTTGTATGTTGTTAGCTTACATATGGGGCTAGGTAATTTCATTGCTTAAAAAGATGCGCCTAGGCTCCCTCTTGGTGGCTGGATTTCTTTTTCTTCGCCCGTGGTGGCCATGGTTCTTAATAGGGCCACCGGAATCATGGTTTCTTTTTTTTTTTTTTTTTTTGAGATGGAGTCTCGCCCTGTGACCCAGGCTGGAGTGCAGTGGCACGATCTCGGCTCACTGCAACCTCTGCCTCCTGGGTTCACGCCATTCTCCTGTCTCAGCCTCCTGAGTAGCTGGGACTACAGGTGAATGCCACCACGCCCGGCTGATTTTTGTATTTTTAGTAGAGATGGGGTTTCACCATAGTGGTCAGGCTGTTCTCGAACTCCTGACCTCAGGTGATCCACCTGCCTTGGCCTCCCAAAGTGCTAGGATTACAGGTGTGAGCCACCACACCCGGCCCCAGAATAATGGTTTCTTGACTTTCTGTAGCCCTTGTTCCTTAGTCTGCTGTGATATTTATGTTGACCTTTATCATTTTCTATTCTGAACCCCTCTTAGCATTTAATGTGAAATCTAAGAAATTAGAAGTAGAATGGCTTTTATTGTTTTGACACCTTTGAAATTATTATTAATAATTTTTCCAGAGCAAAAAAGCAAACACGCTCAATAAGACTAAACAAAACAAAATATAAATGTACATCATTTAATGTCCCAGTGGCTCTATTCTACCTGTAAGAAAATGATACAAAACCACCTAAGATATTTTGAAGCCTGACAAATCAGCTTCATGGAAAAAGGTAAAAAATGCATTTTTCAACCGAAAGGGCAGATCCAATAGAAGACCCGCTCCTTAAATAAACATAAAATGTAAAAAGTTGGAAAATTAAGAGTAATGTTCCATCTGGAAACTGAACTTTTGTCCTTGAACTTGTGTTGGCACCAAGCCTCATACACAGTGAGCTCAATAACTGTTGGGACAAAGGAAGGAAGGACAAAATGTGTAACTTCCCAGCATCTGGGAGATGCTGTCTCTTGCCTCACTGAGTGTTCCTTTTCTTTGCTCTCATGTCATTCCCTGAGAACAATGAATTCTGGGACAGGCTAAACATCATGATGAAGTTTCTTAAACAGACTTTCTTAGTGGAAATCCATTTAGATCTGGGTGTGCTCTATGGGGAGTGCTGACGTCAAAGAGCAAATGTCTATAAGGGGCCCTTTTAAAATGAACATTTTCCTCATTGAGCAAGCTGGGATTCTCTAATGTAGAAATCAAGCCATCTTTATAATTTCACTTCAGATGTTTATGTTTTTGTTTTTTTTGTCTCCAATGATGGTAAAAATAAAAACTACGCATTACTTAAAGGAGTTTCCCTCACATGTAAACACTGTTAGGAAGTCTGGATTAAGTTGAAAGTCCTGTTTTAACTTTTTTTCTCTCATATACCAAACACTCTGTATTTCTCTTAAAGAAGCCCTTTAAGAGAAAGCCCTAATTTTATATCTGACAGTAAAGTTTGCTGCAAGTGTATGAGTTCAAACACATCCCTTGTTTTCTGTCCCTAGGGGAAAAGTCATGTAGTTTTAGCTTGGCTCCAGTGTTAATATTATATTCAGTAGCAGCCTTAGAAGAGTGGTCTAAGACTTGAACCTGGAGCAATTTTATAGCACAGAATCCTACGAAGATAGGACTGTGAACATTTGTTTTCTTTTTCGTGTGTGTCAAACTAACTGGTTTTTGCTTTACCAATAAAATGTCCTCGGCAGAGTAAATTTTAAACGTGAAAATTATAGATCTTGATATTGAATCCATCAGTGATTCAAGAGATACACCTATTTGCCTAAAACAACCTAAGATGTATTGGTTATGGAATCATGTGTTGGATAGGTTCTTAAGACCTGTTTCCTCAAATCTTGACACAGTTTTCAAGGGTGGCTTATTGACTTGCACGGTTGGGCAGATAATCCAGATTTACCTAAGATTGGGTAAAAAAGTCATCTGTGACTTTGCTGGCAGGGCATTTGCTAAGTGGAGTACAGGATCTAAAAGGGTTTTCTTAGAAAGGGCAATATTGTCCAATGAAGTAAGCAGAAGGACTCTGGGTTAGAAGCATCTGCACAAAAACTGGTGAGACCTACTCTCCACTGCTCTGCAGCTGGATGGCTGATGGCAGGCTGAGCAGTGGGGAAGCAGGTTTTAACAACAGGGAGTCCTTCCAGGTCACTGTATATTGAGAAGAAACATAAAACTATTGTCTGTTACATTCCGAGGTCAGCCTTCTTCTTAACGTTTTATAATATGCAAATGCCAGCTTCTGGAAAGCAAGTATCATCATGTACCAAATGCTTTATACACCATCACATTCATGAATTTTTTAGCATGGTCAGAACTTGTGTAAATATGTCTCTTAGATGATTTTGGGGAGATGTGATTTATTTTTCATATTTTCAAAATGCATTTCATTTCAAATAAAGTTATCTATTGAGACAACCGACCTGTGGACCTTTTGAAGGCCTTGTTCAACTGGCACATGCATTGTGTGTTCCTGTGAAACAGAGATTCTGAATTGCTTGGGCATTCTGGGAAAAAAAAAGACCATTTTTGAGGTTGGGAATTCATCTTTTAAAAAATTCACTGGGAATTTGGAATATGAAAATTCGCTCAGGTATGTTGGTGAAAAAATTAGCTTTCAGAATGCTAATGAACTTTAATTGAATTTTCCATAGTTTCCCAGAGGACCAGAAACAGTTCCTAGTGAATCAGCTCAACAGCAATACCCTCTTGAGTCCCAGAGGTAGTCTAGTTCTCTTATGTCTCTTGGGAGGGTAAAGCTTTGTCTCTGAGTCATCCTTCAAACGGTATTCATAGACCTTCCTATTTTGTGTTGAAAGCAGAAGAGGGACTTGATTCTTTAAAGAAAAATAGCATAACTTTATTCTTACAATCTCCACTGGCATCTAAAAGCCTTTAAATCTCAAAAGACTTTAAAATAGGAAACTTGAAGGCATTTTTTTGTATCCCTTATGCCTTAGCATAGTCATGCATTGACAGCTTTACTACTCTAGTTTTTTTGTTTTGTTTTTTTTTTTAAAGAAAAAATGTGAGAAGACAAATTACTATCATGCTGAGGGGACTTCAGGGACACGGTGTGAAATAAATGTGTGTAGTAGGTGGTAGCCCAGGATTGGTAAGAGCCAGGATTTGAGAGTCATAGTACACGGGTTCAAGTCCCAGTTTCACAATTATTAGCTGTGTAGATCTTGAATTACTTAAACTCTTGGAAACTCAGTTGTTTCCTTTTCTGTAAAATGGAGTTTATAAAGGTACTTATTTTAGGGTGGTTGAGGAGATTTAATAAGTTAGGATACATAAAATTACTTAGAGCAGTGCCTGGCATCACTATGAAAGGAAGCTCCTTGCATTAGGACAGATAAACAGGTGGGGAATCATTATAGCCATATGAATATATAATATATGGTATTCTGAAGCTAGGCATTGTATTTTCTGAGATCTCAGCACTTATTTATTTATTTAAAACATAGTGTTGCTTTGTTGCCCAGGCTGGAGCACAGTAGCGCCATCTTGGCTCACTGCAATCTCCACCTCCAGGGTTCAGTTCTCCCACATCAGCCTCCTGAGTAGCTGGGATTACAGGCGTGTGCCACCACAATGGCTAATTTTCGTATTTGTAGTAGAGACGGGGTTTCATCATGTCGCCCAATCTGGTCTTGAACTCTTGACCACAAGTGATCCAGCTGCCTCGGCATCCCAAAGTGCTGGGATTACAGGTGTGAGCCACCATGCCTGGCCTCAGCACTTCTTTTTCAACGGTAAGAACAGTATAGTTGACCACATCCTTGTATTCAACTTTGAAAAAAGAGAAAAATACATTATAGAAATACTATTTACAATTTTATTATTATCATTATTTCTTTGGAGACGGAGTTTTACTCTGTCGCCCAGACTCTGAGATGCGGTGGCACAATCTCGACTCACTGCAACCTCCGCCTCCTGGGTTCAAGCTATTCTCCTGCTTCAGCTTCCCGAGTAGCTGGGATTACAGGCCCACACCACCACGCCTGTATTTTTGTATTTTTAGTAGAGACGGGGTTTCAGCATGTTGGCCAGGCTGGTCTCGAACTCCCGACCTCAGGTGATCTGCCTGCCTCAGCCTCCCAAAGTGCTGGGATTACAAGCATGAACCACCGCACCTGGCCAATTTTTATTATTTTTTAGAGACATGGTCTTGCTCTGTTGCCCAGACTGGAGTTCATTGGTGTGATCATAGCTCACTGCAGCCTGGAACTCCTGGGCTCAAGCATCCTCCCACCTTAGCCTCCCAAAGTCCCAGGATTACAGGGATCAGCCACCATGCCTGCAAGCACTACCATTTTAATGACAATTTTCATTTGCTTATTACTTTCCAGTCTTGGTCCACATGCTCATGTATTTTAAGTTATTTATAAATTATTCTATCAAAATAGTCCATATGTGGGTGTGGTGTTCTGCCCAGATTGCCACTTCAGGACAGAGAGGGCATTCAGTCACCATATGTGGAAGTGTTGGTGGCTATCATGTTCTCAGCAAGTCCTTTCCCTGAGGACCCACCTTGTCCTAGAACACACCCCCTCCTTGGGGGTAACCTGCATCCTGTGATGGGTCTATGGGGAGTAGATGAAGGCCAGGCCAACGGTAAAGGATCATCCCAGCTGCAGAGCTGCCTGTGGAATTGGCAGAGGCCTATCACAACCAGTGGGCATTGTAGTCCAACTCTCACTCTGCTCAATTCTGTTTCCCTTGCTTCCTTACAGGTGAGGTTCCCAAAAACACTACTTGGGGTGGGAACCCTCGCTCTCCCCTTAACCTCCTGCCGTCAAATCTCAGAGTCTCAGAACCTGTATCTCAGGCAATCCTATCTATGACCATATCTGTTTCTGTATGTGAGTATATGTATGTTCCCACCACCAGGTTCTGTAGGAAGGCTGGTGGTGTTGGGAGGGGAGTAAACAGCATAATGGTGAAGCATAGGCTTTAGGGTAGTGGCTCTCAACCTAGAGCAATTTTGTACCCCAGAAGACATTTAGCAACATTTGGAGACATTTTTGGTTATCACAAGTGGTGAGTAGAGGCCAAGGATGCTGCTACATATTCTACTATGCACAGGAGAGCCCCACCTACAACAAAGAAGTACCCCACCCAAAACGTCAATCATACCAAGGTTGAGAAACCCTGCTTTGGAATCAGATAGTCTCATTCTTATTAGCTGAGTTGCTCTGGGCAAGTAATTTAATTTATTTTAGCCTCAGTTTTCAGCGTGTGCAATGCAGACAATGATAGTACCTGTCTCATGGAGTTGTGAAACCAAAATTAGTTCACATAAAGGACTGTGGCTGTTCCTGTCGCAAAGTAAGCATTCAATAAGTGGTAGCTATCATCCTTATTATTATTGTTTAAAGTCATAATGTTAATGACAGCATAATATGCCATTTAGTTGGTGTATTATTTCACTTATTTGCCTATTGCCATCTGGTGATTTTCTGTTGTTATGCTGTTAACAGTACAGCTGCAATAAACATCATCATGCATAGATTATATTGAATAAAAAGCATGAACTGGGATTCTAGTTCTGACTCTTAGTCTTCTGACATTAGCAGCTCATTAAATCTCTATGAGCCTTAGTCTGCTCATTTGTAAGTGGGAATAATAGCCCTGCCTGAGAGAAGCTATTATGAACATACTATGAAGTGGCAGTAAAATCTGCATGAGTTCAAGTCCCAGAGGCACCACTTAGCCACTTTACTTACAGTAGAGCATCATGAAAATGCAAACATTATTATCTGGATTCCATTTTAAGAGGAATTAGATATTATATATTCATATACATATGTATATTTCAATCCAAATAATCTGGTTTTAAGAACTAGGATGGGCTGGGCATGGTGGCTCATGACTGTAATCCCAGCACTTTGGGAGGCCAAGGCAAGAGGATCACTTGAGGCCAGGAGTTCAAGACCAGCCTGGGCAGCATAGCAAGAAGCCCATCTCTATTTTTTTTTTAAGATTCTGACAAAGGCTTATTAAAAAAAAGAGAAATAAAAATTTTAAAAAAGAAAAGGAAATAGGATGTTACTGTAACTTAAAAAAAAAAGGTATCAAGAAATTCCTAGTTTTTTGTAAAATTTGACCCAAATTTATACTTATGTTAAAGTAGAAGGAATCATGTCAACACGACATTCCAACTATCCAGAATTATTGACAGAGGAAAACTTGAATACTGAACTCATTGGCCATACGAATTTATTCAGCAAAATATCCTTACTTGCTTTTTTTCTCAAAGACCTGGTGGGAAGCCCTCACCAGCTACATAGAAAGGCCATAATCAAATAAACGTCATGGTGCGAGTGTTCTAGAGCTCTAGCCTTACTTGCCTACAAAGTAAGTCTGTTTATCAAAGATGGCACCAGTGGAGGCCACAACACTGTGGAAATTTAGATGATCTGGGATAGACTGTCGCTATAGGCAAATTTAATTGGTTTGAGGATTATTCAGAATCTTATTTTATCTTGAAGGGATTGTCAGGACCTAGGGATAAAGAGGTCCCCTTCGTTACTCCCAGACACAGAGTCAGAATTAGCTGCTTCTGAGATAGAGTCGATGTGAGAACGGCTTGCTTTTTGCCAGAGCATTCACCTGAAGCATTTGATATTTAGTCAGGCTCCGGAAATGAAAACTTGAAAAAATAGTCAATGCGGTTATGTTGTATACTCTTAAGGACTGCCAAAGTCGTTTATAATGGAGTGAGCAAACACGTACTGCCGTGTTTTAAGACCAGACATCCTGTGCTTCCAAAGCAACTGATAAATGAGTATTCAAGTACTGGGGAGAAAGAAACAGGAAATGACCCTTGGGGAGTTTCAAAGTTTTAATTATGTTACTATCCTCCACTGGCTTTCTCCAGAAGCTGATAGTTCATACAGTTGACTTATTTTGCGAGTATTTTGAACTTTGCCATAGCAAATTGTAACCAGTAGTGTGGCTTACCCCGTCAGAGCTGACTCATGACCTCAAAACTGCAGACCAGCTTTGTGACTAATCACAGCCAAAGAAGCCAAACTTGTAACAGTTCTTTTTTTTGGTTTTTAGTTGTTAAAGAAATGTTCATTTCTACAAAGCTTGGCTGTAGTTCGTTGGCTGTAGTTGGTAAACACCTGCCTTTAATGATCCTTCCAAGGAACCCCCAAATATATACATTGTGTGCGTGTATGTGTGTGTGTATTATAATTACTGTTTTTACTCTTCTTGCTAGTAACTTTTCATGGCATATGAAGGCGGGCTTGTCAGTTTTTTGGTGCAGAACCTGATCTCTAAGTGTTTGAAGCAGCCCTGGGCAGAGTGGCTTCCTTAGAGCTTTGAGCGTCCTGCTTTGAGGGTGAGGCCTATCCTGCCCGAACACCTATGACAAAGCAGTGGTCTGTGGTGGTGCCAGGTCCCTTTGTAACTTCCTGTTGCCACATTTCAACACCACCGCTGGAGGGGATGACTGTGGTCTCAGTGGGAGAACAATTCAGTGACTTACTTTTTTAGTTTCTGACAGAAAAGGAGACTCCTCAGGTGGATTGCATTTGTATATGGGTTGCATTTGCAGGCGTGAGAAAGCATTTAATCCTTGCCACAATGTGCTGGCTCACTACGGAATAATTGTAATTATTGCCAGGGGTTCACATGAAATCCCTGATGCCTGTAAGTCGTGCCAGGTAGCTGCCGGAAGACCTGAGCTTCATGGCTGTCTTAACAGCTGGTGGACCCTGGTTTGAGTTTGCTTTCTAACAAATGTTAGGCAATAATCTCTCTCCTACCTGCAGAAATACTGAGTTTGAAATCAGAGTTGATCATGGCATTTTGGAAGTTTAGATGATGTAGCATCCATCCTTCCCCATTTTACAGTGAAAAAAAAAATGATGTGAGGAGGTGTCAGTTAGCCACCCAAGGTCACACCGGCAGTTAAAGTTAAAGACATGATTAGAACCAAATTCCAGTTTCCATGATTCTTAATTAATGCTCTTTCAATACTGCACCACTGCTTTGTAAAGCCTGAAAGACAATTTCCATAAATCCAAGGTGTTGTTATTCTTGCAAATAATCACTCGAAGCATTCAGACATCATTTATAGTCTTTTCAGCATTTAGATGAAAAGATTCATCACATCTTTTCCCCAAAAAGTATAAACTGAGATGGAAAGTAAACTGTTTAATTCCATAGTTTTAAAAATGGAATCATGGCCAGGCTCAGTGGCTCATGCCCGTAATATCAGCCCTTTGGGAGACAGAGGCAGGAGGATCACTTGAGGTCAGAGTTCAAGACCAGCCTGGGCAACAAAGTGAGAACCCGCCTCTACAAAAAATAAAAAACACAGCCTGATGTGATGGCACACACCTATGGTCCCAGCTACCTGGGACTCTGAGGCAGGAAGACCACTTGAGTCCAGGAGTTCGAGGACACAGTGAGCTCTAATTGCACCACTGCACTCCAGCCTGGAAAACAGAGTGAGACCTTGTCTCAAAAAAAAAAAAAAAAAAAGTTAATCATGTTTTACCCTTTTCAAATATAATCCACATGGATTAACAAAACTTCAGGAAACAGGCAAATTCACAAAAGAAACCAGAGTGTGTGTGTGTGTCTGTGTGTGTGTGTACAAATATATATATATATATGTATAAATATATATATTGCTTTTTATAAAATGTTAGGCAATAATCTCTCTCCTACCTGCAGAAATACTGCAGAAATACACACACACACACACACACACACACACACGCATATATATATACACACACACACATTTTCTTTTTTCTTTTTTTTCCCTCTTCTCTCTCCTTCTCCTCCAGAAGTATATTTTGAAATGGACTTATTTTAAAATGTGGTTGTTAGAATATATTCTTTTAAAAAAGCCATTTGAAATTGATTTTATCTTATGACTCCTAAAATATTTGTGGAATGTTTCCTGTTGCTAGTCACCCTCAGGTCTTGAAATTACCTGTGGAGTTGAAAAATGTTGAAGTGATTTGAATGTTTATACAGTTACTTGAGGAGGTAGCTGCCTAGATTTGTAGCCTGTGTAGGTGTTGGGAGAAATATTTTCTGAAAAGGTTGGTTGAGGGTAGTGGATCTATGGGCACTGGTGAGATCCTAATACGTGGAGTGATAAAAATTTGTTGCTGCCCTTCTGGGCAACTAGGTGAATGCAATTCACATAGCTCCAAATTAAACCATAAATAACAGTTTTTGACCTACCTAGGATATTAAGAACTTCAAACCACACAATGTTTTCTTGTGTGCTTCTTTTACTTAAGGATTTAACTTGGAGAAGATTTTAGAGTTTGTAATAACTTTTCATGAAAGGATAGGGAGAAAAAAGGAGCAGGATCTTTAATAAGTAGATGTACTTCTGCATCCAGCAATCCGGCTTTTAATTCAAAATTGTGTATGTGCTCTGGGTGATGCCAACATTTCCTCTTACATAAAGTGACCTTTTACGGGGTTTCATTCATAGCACTTGGCTCCCTCCTGGAGTCACAGTGCTTGTCACAAGGCAGTGGATTGCCTGCTGGTTCTTATGCAAGTGATGACTGGGAGGGCTGATAGGGGGTAACGCGGACAGCCTCTCTCTCTGACAGCAGATTGTCAGCATTCTTGACCCGGGCACTCTAAGAGCCTGGGAAAACACTTTGATTTCAATGTGGCTTTAAAAAATGATATTCAGTTGAACCAAATGACTGTGTAAAATAGGACCACAGGGCAGGCCAGGAGCGGTGGCTCATGCCTGTAATCCCAGCACTTTGGGATGCCAAGGTGGGCGGATCACCTGAGGTGAGGAGTTCAAGACCAGCCTGGCCAACATGGTGAAACCCCTTCTCTACTAAAAATACAAAAAATTAGCTGGGCTTGGTGGCAGGCGCCTGTAATCCCAGCTACTCGGGAGGCTGAGACAGGAGAATTGCTTGAACCCAGGAGGCGGAGATTGCGGTGAGCCAAGATCACGCCATTGCACTCTAGCCTGGGCAACAAGAGTGAAACTCCGTCTCAAAAAAAAAACACCCTGTTGTTACAGATAAATCAAAATAAGTGTATTAAGATAAAGATTTACTTCTCTTTTATGTAAAAGTAACCTAGATGTGGGTGGCCCAGGGTGGGTAAGGTGACTTTAGTTTGTCACAGATCCGGGTTCCTTCTTTCTTTTCTCTTCTACCACCCTTGGTACAGGACTTCTAGCCTCATGATTCAAGATGGCTGCTGGAGTTCCAGCTACCATATTCGAGCTCTAGAACAGGAAGAAAGAAAATTAGGGAAACAGCAGCTCACTGCAGCCTCAACCTCCTGGGCTCAGGTGATCCCCCTGCCTCAGCCTCCTGAGAAGCTGGGATCACAGGCACGCACCACCACACTCAACTAATTTTTAAATTATTTGTAGAGACAGGGTCTCCCTATGTTGCCCAGACTTGTCTCGAACTCCTGGACTTAAGTGATTCTCTCAACTTGGCCTCCCATAGTGCTGGGATTACAAGTTTGAGCTACCATATCCAGCCTAGAAAAATTTTGGAATCCCAATATGGTGACTTCCACTTAACACCACATTTGCTATCCAGGGTTGCAAAGGAGGGCTAGAAATGTACTGGCCAAATTGCCATCCCAAATAAAATTAGGGTTCTGTCAGCAAAGAAGGAGGGGAGAATGGTTATTGGAAAGGAAACTAGCAGCCTCTATTATAGGTCTTATTAGCCTCTACTTAATAGATAAGAAATTGAGGATTGGGGAACTGAAGAAACTTGCCAAATAAACAGCAGGATGAGAATTGTTATCTGGGTATTTAACTCCACTGCCTTTGCGCTTAAACGCTATGCAAACTGTGGCTGTGTGCTAGCACTAAAATACGATGCAGACCTCTCTCAGAGATGGGAATGCTCTTAAAGACATTAATTTAGAGTATTTTAGGTATTCTTTTTTTTTTTTTTTTTTTTTTGAGACGGAGTCTTGCACTCTCACCCAGGCTGGAGTGCAGTGGCGTGATCTCGGCTCACTGCAAGCTCTGCCTCCCGGGTTCACGCCATTCTCCTGCCTCAGCCTCCCGAGTAGCTGGGACTACAGGCGCCCACCACCACACCCAGCTAATTTTTTTTGTATTTTTAGTAGAGAAGGGGTTTCACCATGTTAACCAGGATGGTCTCGATCTCCTGACTTCGTGATCCGCCCGCCTCGGCCTCCCCAAGTGCTGGGATTACAGGCGTGAGCCACCGCGCCCGGCTATTTTAGGTATTCTTATAATTCTTACTAAGGTTTACACTTTCCTTTCTCATATGGTACTGTTGTAATGATTTTCAATTGGTCCTTCGTTACATCTGAACAATTTAAATAGAACAAAACTAAATTTCAAAACAGAAATACGTAGTTGCTTTCAGTGCCTTCCTGTCAGAGTCATATTGACATGGTAAAGATATAAGAAAGATCGAAGGTTCTTAGCGGAAACTGGAGCAATAAAGCCAGAGACACCATCAGTGGTGCTTGCTGGTTTTGCAGAAGCTAGCTCCCTTAGAGACGTCATGTCCAGCACCAATCACAGAGTCTATCAAAAGATCCAAATCAAGAAAACAGGAGAAGAATCTCAGGCTTTTCATTCATGCTCAACAAGAGGAGCATGCTTTTACACTATCCCGGGAGATTCCTCAAGGGTCAACAAAGAGTAGTAGAAAGAATCCTAGATTCTAGACTTGGCTTTGCCGTTAACAAGTTGTGTGACCCTGAGCACATGATTTTGCGTCTCTGGACTTTAGTTTCTTTGTCTTTAGAGTAAAGATATTCTTCAATTGCCCTGTTTCAGTTGTAATAGTTTACAAGTAGTGATTTCTGTACTCATTTGCCTTTCTTTGGAAAGACTACAACTTTGAATTTGAAGGACCTGGATATGACTCAGTGCTGACTCTCTTAAGCTGTGTAACTTTGCACAAGTCACCTAACATTTTTGAATCTTAGTTTTCTTACCTGTAAAATAGGTATAATAAATCCTGTCTCATGGAGCTAGTGTGACGATTAAAATAATGAGATGTGAGAGAACTTTGTCTCCATTCAGACAAAACATCTAGAAAGTGCTTGTCTCCACTGTCTGCTAAAGAGCATCCCCATTTCATGACCCTTCCTTCCTTCTTTCCTTCCTTCCTTCTTTCCTTCCTTCCTTCTTTCCTTCCTTCCTTCCTCCTTCCCTTCCCTTTTCTTTCTTTCTTTCTTTCTTTCTTTCTTTCTTTCTTTCTTTCTTTCTTTCTTTCTTTCTTTCTTTCTTTCTTTCTTCCTGTCTCTTTCTTTCTCTCTCTCTCTCTCTCTTTCTTTCTTTCTTCCTTTCTCTTTCTTTCTTTCTCTCTCTCTCTCTCTCTCTCTCTCTCTCTCTTTCTTTCTTTCTTTCTTTCTTTCTTTCTTCTTCAGGTTCTTACTGGGGTACAGTGGCACGAACATGGCTCACTGCAACCTTGACTTCCTGGGCTCAAATGATTCTCCTGCCTCAGCCTCCCTAGTAGCTGGCACAACAGGCATGTACTAACATGCCCAGCTAATTGTTTAAATGTTTTGTAGAGATGGGGTCTATGTTACCTAGGCTATTCTCAAACTCTTGGGCTCAAGCAATCATCTTCCTTCGGCTATCCAAAGTGCTGGGATTACAGACATAAGACACCCTCACCCTGCTCTATTAATTTCTTTTTCTTTCTTTGTTTTTTTTTGTTTTGTTTTGTTTTTTGTTTTTTTTTTTGAGATGGAGTCTCGCTCTGTTGCCCAGGCTGGAGTGCAATGGCGTGATCTCGGCTCTCTGCAAGCTCCGCCTCCCGGGTTCAAGCAGTTCTCTGCTTCAGCCTCCCGAGTAGCTGGGAATACAGGTGCTTGCCAACATGCCCGGCTAATTTTTTAAATATTTTTAGTAGAGATGGGGTTTTACCATATTGGCCAGGCTGGTCTCGAGCTCCTGACCTCGTGATCCACCTGCCTCGGACTCCCAAAGTGGGGATTACAGGCGTGAGCCACTGCACCCAGCCTGCCCTTTTAATTTCAATCTCTTGGAGCCACATGCAGCAAACATCTTCATCAATTTACAAAAGCATCTGGTTTTACTCTGTGATTTTCCCCTTCCTTCCTATGGGAAAAAGAAGGAAACTATAAGACCTGCTATTTTATAGGATTTTGTTTTGGTTTTGGTTCTTTTGACACACAGTGTGTCTTCAACCCACCTGTATAATGAGAACTCCTTAGAATAATGAAGGGTGCTACATAATCAAAGTACGTGGTTGCTTGCTGAGGTCGGAACATATTCTAACTTGATCTAGAATTATTTTCTACACCATGACCTAAAAGTGAAAATGGATGGTTTTAAAAGACTTAATTTAGGCAGAAAATTTATTTAAGCCAAGTCCTCTATTACCTGCACACTCTAATGAGCAGTGTTTTACTTCAATTATGTAAACGGAGAGAATAACGATTGAGGAAATATAATAAAACTTGAACAATAATAGTTCCCATTTTCTAAGCATTTATTTTATGACAGGTCTTTTATCATAACAGTGCCTCGAGATAGGTATTGTTATCTCCCTTTTACTGATAAGAAAACAGAAGCTTACAGAAGTTGAGAAAGTTCCCAAGAGCAGAGGGCAATTATGCGGCAAAGCTGTGATTTGATACGGATCTGAGATACTCCAGAACCCCTATTCCTTTCAGGGCAGGAGGCTAACTCCCAACCCTTTAATGTAAGCAGGCCTGGGGGAGACCAAGGGCAGCCGGGCTCACCTTTCCTCATGAAAAGAGAGTGGCCGGGGAGAGGGCAGCTGTGATCTTCCAGCGATGAGTTTGGAGCCATAGGCCGGCTCAGGCGGCATCTCTCCCAGACCACCCTGCAAAACAGTCTGTGGGTTTTGAAGGCATCATTTTATTTGTGGAATGATGAGGTTATGAATTGAGGGGAAAAAACAGAAAGACTAGTTTGATTTAGCATTTATTCAAGAAAAACATATGACTTTATAAGGAGCGGGATGGAAGTCATGTCTCCCAACTGCAAACACTGCTGCCTGAGGAATTAATGAGAACATCTCATCATCCCAGAGGCCCCCCACAGTGCTAAGCCTGCACCCAGGGCCTTAGCTGAGGAAAAGCAAGAATCATGGTGAATGGGTAGGCTCAGTGGAGAGCTGTCCAGCTGATGGGATGAGGGCAAGCTCACCACATCTCGGCAGGAGGATGGACACGCAAGCTCTTCACCTAGCTCGCTTTCACCCAGCTCTTTACCCTCTTTACTTTAATTTGATTTTTTTAAATTAAATAATTTATCAAAGCCCCTTCTGGAGCTGTTGTTTCTCCCCTTTTAAAAAGAACTTTCTGGCTGGGTGTGGTGGCTCACACCTGTAATCCCAGCACTTTGGGAGGCCAAGGCAGGAGGATCACTCTCGCTCAAGAGTTTGAGGCCAGCATGGGCAACTCATCGCTATTTAAAACAAAAAACAAAAATAATAAACATTTAAAAATGAGCTTTTTGTTTTGTTTTGTTTTTAGACAAGATCTCACTCGTTGCTCAGGCTGGAGTGGTGCAGTGGCGCAATCATAGCTCACTGCAGCCTCAAACTCCTGGGCTCAAACCATTCTCCTACCTTAGCCTCTCAAGTAGCTGGAACTACCGGAGCAATGCCACCATGCCCAGCTAATGTTTTTAACTTTATGTTTTGTAAAGATGGGGTCTCACTATGTCGCCCAGAGTGGTCTCAAACTCCCGGGCTCAAGTGATCCTCCACCTCAGCCACCCAAAGTGTTGGGATTACATGTGTGAGCCACTGCGCCCTGCCAAAATGAGCATGTGAGGGTCTTTGTGGTGTTGTGGAAGGGCTGCAGCCCCTCCTGTCCTGGCTGTCTCATCTGACTGCTTGCACCCTGTGTGTGCTCTCTGGCTGCAATGATATCACCAGGAGACCCATCAAGTCGGCTTTCTGCAGCTCCTTGGGGATTACTGGGTTCAGGCCTAATCCTCAACGGCCCAGGCCCTAGGCATTTGGACAGGGCTACCACTCAGGCAGGAGAGATGCTGAGGCTCAGCGTGGGAGTGTGGAAGGGGCAGCTGACCATGACCCTTCTCCTCCCAGCTTTGAATCTCATTTTACTTCAGAGACTGCAGAGCCCTGAAGCAGAGCCGCCTCCCTCAGTCTGCAGAATCCAGGTTGCTCTTCAGGTAGGAGATGCACCTTTTTGTCCTAAGGGATTCCTCTTACCCCCTGTTTGAGGGGCTGGGGAATTTTTGAGTGTGTGTAGCGGGTGAGATGGCAGGTGGAGGTGGGGTATGTGTGGAAGACGCTTTCCCAGGAAGACCAGGTTCCTAAGGGATGTAGGAGTTATAGAGGGGGCAAAGATGCAAAAAGCAAGACAGACTTTGCCAGGGAAGCAGACCGGGGAGAGATTTTGAGTAAGATGCAAACTCCAAGTGTTACAAAGACACTAAAAGCAAATTGCCTGGAAGGGTGATGGCAAAGCTCTCACACTTACTTGGTGCTATCCATGCCTTCTAGAGGAGGTGATGGTGTTGCCCAGCAGTGAACATCTTTCTAAGAGCTCTGTTTCAGTACTTCCTCCCCTCCCTTCCTCCACCTTCTCCTTGGTCTGCCTGCAACCTCATCTCTTCCAGGCCCTTGCGTGGGACATCTGGACAATCTGCCTGTTATGTGGATAGAAGCTTTATCTTTGATTCCTGCCCAGGGTCTGTGTCTCCCCCTGCCCACACCACTTCACACTATCAGCCCTTGGTGCACGTCTGACCACCCGGCATGAGGTGCTCATGGGACTTTCCAGAAGGAGGCTTCTCTCATGGAATGCCTGGGGCTCAAGAGCACTAGAACTCCAGGAATGGGGCAGTTCCAATTTCCCTGGTGGCAAGTACAGTTGGAGCATGTGATGGCACATCACCAGCAAAGGAATGAACCTGGAGATGAAAATGGAGTTCAGTGGAGAGTCAGACTCACGGCTAAGAAAACACAGAGGCCTCGTGGGGAGCTCAGTAGGGGTAAGCACAGGAGGCAGGAAGAAGAAAAGATGGAGGCCTCATGGGGAGCTCAGTAGGGGTAAGCACAGGCGGCAGGAAGGGGAAAGGAGCTAACCTAGTCCTCACTGATAGCATAGTAAGAAATCGGAATGTCCCAGATCCCAGCCCCTGACCATGGAAATCACTGTGACTTGGGCAACAGTGACAATAGTATTTGGTTTGATCTCCCCACCCTCTCATTGTCGTCTCCTCATCTCCTTCCCCACAGGGTCTAGGCAGCTCATTGAATACCTGGTGTTAACCCTTAATGGACAAAGCTACTATCAACCATGGCTGCTGCTGTGGCCTCCATCGTAAGTGAGTCTGGCTTTTCCAGTTTACAGTGTCATCCCCTGAGGAACTTAGAAAGGCTTCCCTGGGCCTGGACCAGGTGCCATTTGAGACTCCATCGTGTGTGATATTTATTCACAAGTGTCCATCAGTTTGGATCCCTCTACGGGCCCTGTCCTTGGCTGCCTTTCCCTCAGGGTGGTTCCTGATAACCAATGTGTCTTCTTTCTTTCCTCCTCCTCTGCTCTTCCAGGATAGCAGGACAGCCTTGAGTCTCCTCTTAGCTCAGGAGTGCTAAGTCCAGTCTCCTGGGTGTCTGACTGTCAAGACCAAAGTCCGGTTGCTGCTTCTACTTGGAGGCTTGAAGATTCCTCAGACAGATAGAGAAACCCTAGTAGCCATTTCTCAGGGTTTCCAAAATAAGCGTACAGATTAGTACCCGACAGTGACATGTAATTTAAAAAGCAAGTAGCAAAATAATTCTTTATGAGTCACTTGTAAAGACCAGGCCAGACTTGTGTTTTTAAGCAAAAACAGAGACTCTTTCAATTAGGTTTTAGTAAGCCCCAAGCTATTTTTGAAGTTGAGTGCTGGGAATCCTTTTGAGCACAAAGGCAGAGTCCCTTTGGGCACATTGGACCACCCCTGGAGTCATGAAGTGGATTGGAGAGGCATTCCAAAGACAGGCTGGGAAAAACCTGACAGGAAGTATTCCCAGAACAAGCTACTCCCAAAGTCCCCGTTGGCTAATGACTAGGGCATAATTGTAAACAAAGCAGACCAGCTTCAAAGAATAGAGATGTGTCTCTGAGCATCAGCCACTCAGCAAAGAGGAAAATGCCCTCCTGGCTTTTGGCAACTCACAGCACCCCTTCTGCCAGAGCATTCTGACATTAATCAAGAAACACACATGTGCTATTACCCAGAGCCATGTCTGAACCCACCTCCAGCCTCCCAAGCCCTCTCCTCAGCCCCAGTGCTCTCCATCTCTCAGCCAGATTTTCCCAGGGTGGAAAAGAAGGAGGTGGCAGGGATGTGAGGAAAGGGGATGCAGAGGCCAAGATGGCCAGGGTATTGGGTCTCCTTTGATGTCCAAACAGGTTGGTTTTCCAGTGGGTAAGGTCCTGAGACAACCTTGCTCATTGACCAGTTAATCCTGCTCAGCACAGCCTGGTGTTGCAGAGCAAGGCCTAGGCAAGCTGTGGAATTAGTTCTAGACTCCACATCTCAGCTCTACTGCTTAGTGGACTTAATATTTTATTAAACCTGTTTTCTCGTTTGTAAAATGGTAATGATAATCTTGATCTGTGGATAGGCCTTGTTTTGAAATTATAAATGTATATAAATAAATATATTTAGTGCCTGGCACATAAGTGATAGATACAACTATTATCATTTCTAGTACTTCTGCAAGTATTGTAAGTGGCTTCTGGCTAGTGACTGCTTACCGTATGTTGGGTATTGGGTAAAATACTGCGCATAAACACATTTTATGGTCTCTACTTCTATTATAAAACTATTTTGTTTTAAAAAAAATCCATGATTTTTAGCACAATAGAGTATTGCTTTATATCAATTAAATTAACAAATCTCAAGCCAGGGAAAGGAAGTTTGAATAGACCGACATTTCTGTTTGCATTTGCTTACCTGAAATTCAGTCATTATATTTCACAAGCAATCTATTCTTGAGCCAAGATACAATATCATATTTCAGCAGGTGTTAATCCTGACTGTGTCTAAATTCTAAATGAATATTAAGAATTGGGACAGTTAGCTCTATCAGCTAGATGTAAAACCTGCTTTTAAGTAAACACTCAGGTAATTGAAACCCCTGTATAGGTATCAACTGTTTTAATTATTTTACCATATGATACAATCATTCTTGACTCTGCTTCTATATAGATGCAACTTTCTTATGCTGCTTTACATTTATCCAAAATTTCTGTGCTCTTAATAAGCAGAAAGGAAGCATTCGCTGTTCTTGACCGTATCTGTAAGAAGTCAAGAATCATTAGCTTTCAATACATCATGTGCCAATAACTGGAGGAATTAGTAGCTTTGATGATTCTCATGAAGAGTGCCTCAAATCTAAAAGAGAAGAGGAAGAGTGACTGGCTGCATAAAATTCTCTGCATGAGGTGTCACCAACCAGTAGGGAGGGGTAGGTCTGTGCAGGACAAATACCACCTCTCTATCCCTGCTTTCCTGCAGTGTCTGGTGAAGACTATCTGCCCTGTGTTTCCTATGGGATAGAAATATTGTTTTTGTTTTAAAATGGTTCAACTTGGTCAACAGGTTGAGGTGATCTAGTTTTTTGGGGACACACACAGAAAACTTCATATATTTTTCTCTGACATCTGGTCAATGGATGAGGGCTACAAACAGTGGGGTAGGAAAAATGAAGGAGACTTTAACTGTAACTGACCCCTTCCTGGTGTCAGACACTATGGTAATAAGTGCTTTGTGTATGTTATCTCTCTCTTTTTTTTTTTTTTTTTTTTTTTTTTTTTTTTTTTTTTTTTGAGACAGTGCCTCACTCTGTTACCCAGGCTGGAGTGCAATGGCACAATTTCGGCTCACTGCAATCTCCACCTCCTGGATTCAAGTGATTCTTGTGCCTCAGCCTCCCAAGCAGCTGGGATTATAGGCATATGCCACAATGCCTGGCTACTTTTTTTGTATTTTTAGTAGAGACGGGGTTTTGCCATGTTGACCAGGGTGGACTCGGACTCCTAACCTCAAGAGATCCGCCCACCTCAGCCTCCCAAAGTGCTTGAATCTCTTTTTTGTTTTGTTTTGTTTTAAGAGACAGGGTGTTGCTGGGTTGCCCAGGCTTGACTTGAACTCCTGGGCTCAAGTGATCTTCCCACCTCAGCCTCCCAGGAAGCTGACTATAGGTGCACGCCACCACACCCAGCTCATGTGTTACCTCTTGTAATGCCTACAATAAACCTATAAATTAATTATTGTTATCTGAACTTTACAGATGAGGAAATAAAGAGGTTAAGGAACTTGCCCAAAATAGCCTGTGGCAAAATCAGGATTTAAACCATGGTCTTTGGACTCCAAGCCAATATTCTCTCCGCTATACCAGATAATAACTGGTGCATTCAGAATAGTTGGTGTACTGATAGTAAGAACATTTACTTTGTTGTCAGGTTTTATGAATTTTAGTTCCAGCTTGCCCATTGTGTGAGTGCGGGCGATTTAATGCCTCCAAGACTCAGTTTCTCATCTATAAAAAAGAACAAGAATAATAACACATACCTTAATGATTTTTTGGGAGGATTAAACAAGGAAGTGAGTATAGAGCAATGGCATAGTAAAGGCTTAAAATACATCAGCTGTTGCTATTCTACTTTTATTTACCTGGTACATCACTAGATTTAAGGTCAAGGATACCATAATGCCTCTGTTAATTACACAGTGATTTTTCACAACATCTTGTTAGAGACTGCATTACCAGAGGTGAAGATAAGAGAAGAGGTAACAGTGTTTAATTGAGAATGACAGAGTAAGGGCTAGCAAAACACTCAGTACTGACTGTAGGGAATTTACGTGCTGTAGAAGCACAAAATATATGCCTGAGTGTCTTGAGCAACAGGAGGGTTGGACTGACCTGTGGTTCCGGGAGATGTAGGAAGGAGCCCTGCCGTAGACTGACCTGTGGTTCCGGGAGATGTAGGAAGGAGCCCTGCCGTACTCCTGCCAGTGAAGGGGAGGAGAGCGGAGAATTCCTGTTCTGAAGGAATTTGGTGACAAGGGCTAGCATCATTTGTTATCTCCTATTCCAAGCAGGGGTCCCTTGCAGCTATTCCTGAGCCAGTCCTTAGAAAACCGTGTGTGTGGGGTGTGTGCATGTGTGTATGTGTGTGGGTGATATGTATGTGTGTGATGTCTGTGTATGCATGCACGTGTGTGTGTGCATATGTGTGTCTTGGTGATGTGTGTGTTCTGTATATGTGTATGTGATGTGTATGGTGTCTGTGTGTAGCATGCATTTATGGCATGTGTGTGATGTCGGTCTGATGTCTATGTAAATGTAGTGTCTGTGTGTATGCATGTACTTGTATGTGTGTTCACATGTGTGTGCATGTGTGTTTGTGTTTGTGGTGCCTGTATGTATGCACTTGTGCGTTTGTGATGTGTATGTGTGTATGTGTGGTGTCTGTATATGCATGCACTTGTATGTCGATGGTGTGCTGTGTATGGTATCTGTGTGTATGTATGCACTTGTGTGTTTGTGTGTGTTGTGTGTGATATGTATGTGTGTGTATGTGTAATGCCTGTATGTGCATGTACTTGTGTGTGTGTGCGTGTGTGTGTGAGAGAGTATCTGAGGGGCAGGAAACCACTGTTTTGTCATTCTAGTTCATCATCACTCTTTCATTTATTAATTTCCTTTAATAAACATTTATTGCGTATTTCCTGCTTGCCAGGAACTTTGATAAGGTCTATGATAAAACTTGAGTAAGATACAATCTCTGCTCTGAATGAAATTACCAGCAAATCAATCAATCAATCAATCAATGTGATTTGAGGGGTCTAGTAGAGGCTTTCCAGATAATTAGCTCTCTACCTGTCAGGGGACTACATAAATCTCAGTTAATAGGGAATTATGGATTTTGCTCCCAAATCAGACGTAGATAAAAGCCTTAAAATACAAATACTGTGGAAGTAATGAATTAAAATGCATTCATGTTACTGTATAATCAAACAGTGTGGCTGAAAATTTCTTATTTAAATCCATCCTGATTTGGATGGGACAAGGGGTGGGGACCAGGTGGAGAGTGACAGCTGCCGGGGAGGAGGCACAGGTGTAGAAACGAGGCCAGAGCAGAAGACAAGCCTGCCAGCTGCGCCCAGTACTCAACAAAGGACAGCTGTTGGGGGCCTGCCTGCAATGTCTTTTTGTGTTGTTGCTGCTGATTTTCTTTAAAATAGAAGAAAAGGCAACTTATTATAAAGTAGCTTCTTAAAGATTTGTTAATGAACCCATCGCTCTATTAATTCAATGCCTTAGGAGGCCCCCTGTCTCAGTTTGAGCCACTCTCATAGGATAACGCTGAAAAAAAGCCTTGAATCCCCCCAGGAAATGTAAGAGGTTCTCACAGATTGGTGAAATTCAAGCCTGTTATTTATTCTGCTGGAAAGCAGCAATAAATCTAATGAAAGATGGGGAGGTGGATTAACCCACTGAATAATTAGCTTTGCCAATAAAGGGTAAATAACATTTTCCCTCTGTCTGTTTAGTTCCCAAGAAGCCTCCAGGTTGAGCTCCTGACTTGCGGACCCTGAGGCAGTGTGGCAGGGTGAGAGGACACAGGCTCTGGAGTTCCCGGGACCCAAGCACAGTGGCTGCAACTTCCTTGCGGTATGTCCTTAAATGTACTCAAGACTTCTTAGTCTTGGTTTTCTCATCTTCAGAATAGGGATGGTAACACCTACTTCATAGAGTTAGTTGTTGGAAGACCCAAATGAGGTTTTATATATGGCTATGTGATCTTGGGCAAGTTATTTCAACACTTTATACCTCTGTTTATCCATCTGTGAAATGCGAACAATGGTAGTACCCACCTAATAGAGTTCAGAGAACTAACATTAGTTAATATTCATAAAGTGCATGCAACAGTTCCTGGCATCTAGTAAGAATTATGTAAGTTATTATTTAAAGCATTCAATAGGCACTCAATAAATGCTAGTGATTTTATTATTCCTTCTTTAATCCCAGGTATGCCATTTTGTTAAAGCACTGTTTCCGTCATGCAGATCCCTAGCTCCATCAGCTAGAATTGTTATTTTACATCGCAGTAACAAAAAGACCTACTAAAAGTAGCAGCACAGTGAAGTTTATTTCTTGTTCATGTAATAGTCCAGGATGTTTCCAGCCTGGAGGTGAGACTCTGCTTCACAAAGTCACTGAGGGCCTTAGGTAGACAGAGGTTCTGGCATCTGTAATGCGTTAACATTCAAGGTCCTGCTGGAAGTTCTGTCCATGTCAGCTGGAAGAGGAAAAGAGGGAGGGAGAACCTGTAGAAGAGGCTATTATGGGCTTAGTCCTGAAGCAGAACACATTATTTCTTTCTTTCTTTTTTTTTTTTTTTTTTTGAGACAGAGTCTTGCTCTTTTTGCCCAGGCTGGAGTGCAATGGCATGATCTTGGCTCACTGCAACCTCCGCCTCCTGGGTTCAAGCAATTCTCCTGCCTCAGTTTCCTGAGTAGCTGGGATTACCAGCACGCACCACCAACGCCAGCTAATTTTGTATTTTTAGTAGAGATGGGGGTCTCACCGTGTTGGCCAGGCTGGTCTCGAACTCCTGACCTCAGGTGATCTGCCCACCTTGGCCTCCCAAATTGCTGGGATTACAGGCGTGAGCCACCGTGCCTGGCTGGAATACATTATTTCTACCCATGTTTGTTGCCTGGTTCACAATCACATGACCACGCTTAGCTGCAAGGGAGTCTCAGCACATGATCCACCCATGCCCAGGTACACGACAAGACCATGAAGTTTGGAGAAAAGCCGGCAGCCTCTGCCTTATTAAGTCACACACCAGCAGTTAGTTCTCCTGCCTTCATGGACAACAGTCTATCACTATACCTGGCTCTACAATCGCTGCTGCCCTTGGACCTCATGGTACAGGCTGACACAAATCCTTTGCTCTTACTGGCCCAGTCTCCTTGCTGCCAAATAAAAATGCCATGTTCACACACTCATATTTTCCCCTACTGGGTTCTCCAGACATTTGCTTCAGATAGAGATTCAGCTAAAATTTGCAGGCCTACTATGTGCCAGTCTATAATCCCATGTCATCTTCACAACAATCTATGAGGTGCGCATCATAATACTCATCTTATGGATGAGGAATCTGAACTCAGTGAGGTTAAGGAATTTACTTACAGTCATAACTTGCTCGCTACTCTCCTCTTTCTTCCAATTCCACAGCATTTAGGATCTTTACCAAATCAGTTAGTACTCAGTCCTCCATGGTTTCATAAGAATATGTTCTACCTCCTCAACAACGATAGAGTTAAAGCTTCTAGGTCAAGCATAGAGCATTTATATAGAGAGTCATGCATCACTTAATGATGCAGATATGTTCTGAGAAATGCTCCATTAGGAGATTTCATCATATGAACATCACAGAATGTACTTACACAAACCTAGATGGCACGGCCTACTACACACTTAGGCCATATGGTACAGCCTATTGCTCTTAGGCTACAAACATGTACAGCATGTTACTGTACTGAATATTATAGGCAATTGAAACACAATGGTATGTACTGGTGTACTAAAGAAAAAACAAGGTATAATAAAAACATGGTATTATCATCTTTCTGCATTGACCAAAATGTCTGTTATTCGGTTCATGGCTGTAGTTTTTTGGGTCTCTTGAAGATTCTTACATGGTGTGGAGGACACCACTGATATATAAGTTTCACTGAACATGAGCTCAGCAAAATTCTTTTTTTTTTTTCTGAGACGGAGTCTTGCTCCGTCGCCCAGGCTGGAGTGCAGTGGCGCGATCTTGGCTCACTGCAACCTCTGCCTCCCAGGTTCAAGCGATTCTCCTGCCTCAACCTCCAGAGTAGCTGGGACTACAGGTGCCCACCATCATGCCCAGCTAATTTTTGTATTTTCAGTAGAGATGGGGTTTCACCATATTGGCCAGGCTGGTCTCGAACCCCTGACCTTGTGATCCACCTGCCTTGGCCTCCCAAAGTGCTGGGATTACAGGTGTGAGCCACCGTGCCCAGCTGAGCTCAGCAAAATTCTGATTGATGAATTTACCAATTGTTCTTCCCTACTCAGGTGTTAGTCTTCGTTCAGGCCAAACCAAAAATGCTTCAGACCCTAAGTCACCTACAACCTTCTTTCTTTTTCTTCCTTTTGATGCATGTTGAAAGAAATGCTATTTCTCAAGGAAATGACCCCCCACCCCCCAGACTGATTTCTGACCTCTCATTACATGGCACATTAGTTGGCTGTCAAAAAAGGAAACTTAAGCAGAAATGCCCAGCTGTGATTTCTCTTCTCCAACTTCCCGTGTTTGACGTGAGGTGTATAGGCTGGAAATGCCAGCTCCCTGGCTGCTGAAGGAGAGACTCTGCAGTCTCTCCTTTGTGATTCTTGCAGCTGCTGAAAGATACCATGTCTTCAGTGCCAGAGGATCAACAAAGAAAAACAACTTGGCCTCACATGATAATGACCCCAAGTGGTTGGTCAAGAAAAAGAAGTGGCAATGGTGAGTTTTATTGCTTTTGTTGTGTTTCATCTCTCTTTGTGGATTTTTATTGTGATTATTTAAAGATATTTATAATAAAATAAACAGTTACAAATGTTAGGGGGATTGTGTTGCACTGGGGTTCTCTCTCACAGCTGCAAGTGTTGCCTCCTACATGTTGTTAATTTAGAGGTAATCAGGTTTGCATTTGCAGCTGTGCAGCATATGTTTTTCTAAAACAGTCATGGCCATGGGCACCAGAATAATTAAGACTGGAAAAAATGCCAGGAAGCATTTTTTTCTTCCTCTGATAAACTGATAATGCCTTTCTTTTAATTCTTGTTTTGTATGGCTTTATCATTAAAGAGAGTAAAGTAAACCACCTGCTATGTGTCTGAGCTAGTCGCTTTTCATAAATGTTATTACATTTAAATATACTATCTTGGTTTTTTTTTTTTAATGGTTTAATTTTATTAGTGGAGAGAGCAGCTAAGGCCTTTTGGTAGGAGACAGTAATACCATGTCAGACACAGTAGAACATACAGTGTTATAGCTGGAATGTTACATCAGGGAAAAAGCTGATTAGATATTGCTGGTTGGAAGTTGCTATTTTTTTTCCAATTTCAATTGAATTCTAAATCATTCTTAGATTACTCTGATAGAAAATTCCTTATTGCCATAATCTGATTTCTGAGTCAAATGCAAAAACTGTCTTTACTTTTTGGATAATCTTGTAGAATGAACAGATTATACATTTCTTTGAAGAATTTGAACTGAGTTATGATGTATAGATGGGAGATAAACCCGGAACAAGGCTTGCATCAGAGACGTCCTGAACCGTGATGTTCTTTTGGTATCTAAGCATCCCTGTTTCTTTCTCCATGCAATGCAACTTTTTCATTCTCTTGCATTAAGTAAAAATACCAATATAAATAAAATTCGTTTGAAGATTTACCTAGCTAAGTTAACCCTTGTATGCATTTGTATTTATTCAGTAAATAATAAACAATTTTATTTTTATTATTTTTTATTTTCTTTCTTTTTTTTTTTTTTTTTGATGGAGTCTAGCTCTATTGCCTAGGCTGGAGTGCAGTGGCACAATCTCGGCTCACTGCAACCTTCGCCTCCTGCGTTCAAGCAATTCTCCTGCTTCAGCCTCCCAAGTAGCTGGGATTACAGGTGCATGCCACCACACCCAGCTAATTTTTGTATTTTTTAGTAGTGATGGGTTTCGCCATGTTGGCCAGGCTGGTCTTAAACTCCTGACCTCAAGTGATCTACCTGCCTCCCAAAGTCCTGGGATTACAGGCATGAGCCGCCATGCCTGGCTTATTTTCTATTTTTTATGTTAGCATTTCATAAACTTTGTGAATATTATGAGCATGCTGACATGCTAAAAGATGGTCTACTTCAGGGGTTGGCAGACAACAGCCCTGAGCCAAATCATGATGTCCCCTGCCCATTCATTTACTTGTCTATGGATTCTTCTACACTACAATGGCAGGGGCGAACAGTTGTAATAGACAGGGCTGGCTTCACAGGCGTGAGACCTGTATGGTCATAGAAAGCCCCAGCCTTTAGAATGATCTCCTGCTTGGTTTAACGCTCAGCTGCAACTATCTTGCAGATATTAATAATTTTTAAAAAGGGGACTCTGCATTTTTATTTTACACTGGGCCTTACAAATTATATAACTGGTCCTGGTGACAGAGACTGCAAAGCCTAAAATTCTTTAGACCTATAAAACCTAATATATTTACTGTCTGGCCCTTTACAGAAAAAGTTTGCTGACCTCTGACTTAGTTGATCTTCTATTTTCTTCTATATGTAATTATTTAAATTAGTTAATGAGTTAAGAATTACCTGGAGAGAATGATGAAAATGTAAATACTTGGTCCCCACACCCAGAGATTCTGATTCAACAGAGGTCTTGTGTGTGACTCAGGGATCTACATTTTTAAAAAGCCGAATAATGGTTTTTTATTCAGTTGCTCCTTGGTAGCACCTGGATGAAAGCTGGTGGGCCCTCCCTGCCTTGTGTTTGGAGTGTCCCAGTAGAGTCTTAGGACTTCCTTGCCACTACTCCCTCCCTTTTCCAATCCATTTTTTATACAGTACAGGCATACCTCGTTTTATTGTACTTTACCACACTTTGCAGATATCACATTTTTTGCAAACTGAAGGTTTGTGGAGATCCTGTGTCAAGCAAGTCTGTACCATTTTTCCAATAAGCAGGTGCTCACTTCGTGCTTCTATTTCAGTAATTTTCACAATATTTCAAATGTTAAAAATTAGTATTATATCTGTTATGGTGATCTGTGATCAGTGATCTTTGATGTTACCACTGTAATTGTTTTGAGGCACCAAGAACCACACCCGAAACTTTATTGTTAAATGTTGTGTGTGTTCTGACTGCTCCACCAACCCGCTGTTGCCCCATCTCTCTCTCCTCAGGCCTTACTATTCCCCGAGACACTAAAATATTGAAATTAGGCCACTTAATAACATACAATGTCCTCTAAGTGTTCAAGTGAAAGGAAAAGTCTCATGTCTCATTTTAAATCAAAAGCTGGAAATGATTACACTTAGTAAGAAAGATATGTCAAAAGCGGACATAGGTCAAAAGCTAGGCCTCTTCTACCAGTTAGCCAAGTTGTGAATGCAAAGGAAATGTTCTTGAAGAAAATTAAAAGTGCTATTCCAGAGAATGCACAAATGATAAGAAAGGGAAACAGCCTTCTAGTTGGTATGGAGAAAGAACAAACCAGCCACAATAGTCCCTTAAACCAAAGCCTAATCCAGAGCAAAGCCCTAACTCTCTTCCTTTCCATGAAGGCTGAGAGAGGTGAGGAAGATGCAGAAGAAAAGTGTGAAGCCAGCAGAGATTGGTTCATGAGGTTTAAGGAAAGAGGCCATCTTTATAACATCAAAGTACAAGATGAGACAGCAAGTACTGATTTAGAAGCTACAGCAAGTTATCCTGAAGTTCTAGCTAAGATAATTTGTGAAGACAGCTACACTAAACAACAGGTTTTTAATGTAGACAAAACAGCCTTATATTGGAAAAAGATGCCATCTAGGACTTCCATAGCTTGAAAGGAGAAGTCAATGCCTGGCTTCAAAGCTTCAAAGGACAGGCTGACTGTCTTGTTAGGGGCTAGTATAGCTGGTGAGTTTAAGTTGAAGCTAATGCTCATTGACCATTCCAAAAGTCCTAGGGTCCTTAAGAATTATTCTAAATCTACTCTGCCTGTGCTCTCTACATGGAACAACAAAGCCTAGATGACAGCATATCTGTTGACAGCATGGTTTACTGAGCATTTTAAGCCCACTGTTGAGGCCTACTGCTAAAATATATATATATTCCTTTCAAAATATTACTGTTCTTTGACAAAATGCATCTGATCACCCAGGAGCTCTGATGGAGTTGTACCAAGAGATTAATGTTTTTGTGCCTGCTAACACTACATGCATTCCTCAGCCCGTGGATCAAGGAGGAATTTCAAATTTCAAGTTTTACTATTTAAAAAATACATTTCATAAGGCTATAGTTGCCATAGGTACTGATTCCTCTGATGGATCTGGGCAAAGCAAAATAAAAACCTTCTGGAAAGGATTCACCATTCTAGATGCTATTAAGAACATTTGTGACTCGTGGGAGGAGCTCAGAATATGAACATTGTCAGGAGTTTCGAAGAAGTTGATTCCAACCCTCATGGATGACTTTGAGGGCCTCAACACTTCAGTGGAGGGAGTAACTGAAATGTGGTGAAAATAGTTAGAGAACTAGAATTAGAATTAGCCTGAAGATGTGACTGAATTGCTACAATCTCATGCTGAAACTTGAATGGATGAGGAGTTGCTTCTTATGGATGAGCAATGAAAGTGACTTCTTAAAATGGAATCTACTCTTGGTGAAGATGCTGTGAACATTGTTGAAATTAGGACACAGGATTTAGGCTGGGCATGGTGGCTCATGCCTGTAATTCCAGCATTTTGGGAGGCCAGTGCAGGCAGATCACTTGAGGTTAACAGGTCAAGAGTTGGAGAACAGCCAGGCCAACATGGTGAAACCCCATCTCTACTAAAAATACAAAAATTAGCCAGGTATGGTGGCACATGCCTGTAATCCCAGCTATTTGAGAGGCTGAGGCAGGATAATCACTTGAACCTGGCAGGCGGAGGTTGCAGTGAGCCGAGATCTTGCCACTGCACTCCAGCCTGGGCAACGGAGATTCTGTCTCAAAAAAAAAAAAAAAAAGAACAAAGGATTTAGATGATAAAGCAGTGGCAGGGTTTGAGAGGATCGACTGCAATTATGAAAGAAGTTCTACTGTGGATAAAATGCTATCAAAACATATTGCATGCTACAGAGAAATCCTTATGGCAAATTTCATTGTTGTCTAATTTTAAGAAATTGCCACAGCTGCCCCAACTTTCTGTAATCACCATCCTGATTAGTCAGCAGCCATCAACATCGAGGCAAGACCCTCTACCAGCAAAAAGATTATGACTCACTGAAGGCTCAGATAATTGTTAACATTTTTTAGCAATAAAGCATTTTAAAATTCAGGTATGCACATTATTGTTTCAAATATTATGTTATTGTGCACTTAAAGACTACAGTATAGTGTAAACATAACTTTTACATGCACTAGGAAATCAAAAACTTTGTGTGACTTGCTTTATTATGATAATTACTTCTTTGTGGTGGTCTGCAATATCTCAAAGATATGCCTGTCCTGTGTTCAGGTTAATTGCCTCCAAATACTGCTTTTCATGTCTTAATACCTTGCTCAAGCTCTTTTAATAATTACCCAATCTCTGAATACAGCTCTAACTCATCAGTTTTGCATTCCAACACCTCCCACTTTTACAAAGTCCCTCTGACTTTTACAAAGTCTCATTCCAAACTTTTTTTATTTTTTATTTTTTTAGAAGGAATCTTTCTCTGTCACCCAGGCTGGAGTACAGTGATGCACGATCTTGGCTTACTGCAACCTCTGCCTCCTGGGTTCAAGCGATTCTTTTGTCTCAGGCTCCCAAGTAGCTGGGATTACAGGCATGCACCACCACGTCTGGCTAATTTTTTTATTTTTAGTAGAGACGAGGTTTCACCATGTTGGCCATGCTGGCCTCGAACTCCTGACCTCCAGTGATCTGCCCGCCTTGGCCTCCCAAAATTCTGGAATTACAGGCGTGAGCCACTGTGTCCAGCCCCCAAATGTTTTTTCATCCATTTCCTGTACAGAGGCAGCCGGTGACAGTCAAATTTTGTTTCCATATCTAGGTGTTGCTACTCATTAGCTGTGGATCCTTTTCTGAGCCTCAGAATCTTCATCTTGAAAATGGACACAATAACTTACTATGATGCACCGAGAAGAACATAGCATCGTTTCTCTAATATGCTTGCCCAAATTGTATAAGCTCATTCTAATCATGAGAAAACATCACACAAACCTAAACGGAAGGACATTCTACAAAATAACTGACCAGCACTCTTCAAAAGTGTCAAGGTCAGGAAAAACAGGAAAGAATGAGCAACAGGCACAGGAGGAAATCAAGGCAACAACAAATGCAATATAGGATTCTGGATGGATCTTGGACCAGAAAAAGGACATTAGCAGAAAAACTGGTGAAATTTTAATAGAGTCTGCTTTTGAGTTAATAATGTTGGCACCAATGTTAATTTACTCTTTGATCATTATACCATGGTTATGTAAGATGTTAACATTAAAGGAAGCAGGGTGAGGGATATAAGAACATGCTCTATACTATTTTTGTGACTTTTATGTAAGTCTAAAATTAGTTCAAAATAAAAAGTTTAAATTGAGATAATAATATGTACATTACAGGAGAAATTATAAAATACTAACTAGAACCCTGAGGGCATTTATTATGTCCTTGCCACAGGAACTTTATATGTATTTAGTCATTATGATAACCCTATGTGGTAGGAAATACTTTTCTCAGATATGGTTATCTGACACTTAGTAAGAGTCCCCGGAGTTCCAGCAAACTTTTTTCTATTTACTGCTGCCCAAACATGTCCACTTTTGGAGTTTCTGTAAAGTCTCTTGGGGCCCTTTTTGCTACTCTGGACATCTGGAACTCCTATGTCTGCAGTACTCATTTAGCACTAATTTTGTGCAACTTGGTATTGTTAATTTTCTGTGTCTTATTATCCCAGCTAGAAGGCAACTTCTTGAAAGCAGAGGACTGGATTTCACAGATGTTTGGATATCTCCCAGTATCTGGCACCAAGAGTCTTGGATATCACTCAAGCTTGCACTAACAATCTTGGATATCCCATAGTGCCTTTCAGTAATAATCTTGGATATCCCACCATGCCTTTCACCAGGAATTTCCCATGTGCTTCATCATCCTTGGATCTCCAAGAATAACTCATCTTGGCTGGGCCTGGGACCAGTTCTCTGGCCTTTCTAGAGTTGTAGACATTGGATTCTGGGGTACGAGGCAATATTAGCAGTTGGCTTCTTGGATGATTTCCTGGAAAAGCGCACATTGCAATCTGACTTCTAGAGTGAAATTCAGCAATCATACACTTTAAAAAAAAATTGGGGTAAAAAACACATAACATAAAATTTACCATCTTAACCATTTTTAAGTGTACAGTTCATTAGTGTTAAGTATATTTCCATTGTGAAACAGATAGCAATCATACAGTTTTTAATTTCAAAAAATATGTTAGCTATCCAGAATATATGACAGACTCTCACCACTTAATAAAAATAGAACAAGCAATAATAACATCCAAACATGAGCTAAAGATTTAAATGGACATTTCATCAATAAAGATACACAGATGACCAATAAACACGTGAAAAGATATTCAACATCATTAGTCATTAAAAAAAAGAAAGTTAGGCCGGGCATGGTGGCTCACTCCTGTAATCCCAGCACTTTGGGAGGTGGAGGTGGGCAGATCATGAGGTCAGGAGTTCGAGACCAGCCTGGCCAGCATGGTGAAACGCTGTCTCCACTAAAAATACAAAAAATTAGCCGGGCACAGTGGCATGTGCCTGTAATCCCAGCTACTTGGGAGGCGGAGGCAGGAGAATTGCTTAAACCTGGGAGGTGGAAGTTGCAGTGAGCTGAGATTGCACCACTGCACTCCAACCTGGGTGACAGAGAGAGACTATGTCTCAAAAAAAAAAAAAAAAAAAAAAAAGGAAAGTTAAAACCACGATGTGATACCTATTAGAATGGCTTAAAAAAACTGAGAACATGGAGTGCTGGCAAGGATGTGGAGTTACTGATATTCTCATACATTGGTGGTGGAATGCAAAAAAGGAAGGGCACTTTGAAAAAATAGTTGGCAGTTTCTTATATGTTAAATGTACACTTACCATATAACCCATAATTCCCACTTCTAGATATTTACACAAGAGAAATAATGACATATACCCACACTGAAACCTGTATGTGAATGTTTACATCAGCTTTATTCATAATCCCTGAAAATTGGAAGACAGCCCAATGTCTATCCACTGGTGAATGAAATAGATGAACAACTTGTAGTATATCCAGACTACTTCTCAATAGAAAGGAGTGGACTACTGATACTACAACCACATGGATACATCTCAGATACATTGTGCTAACTGACAGAAACCAAACTCAAAAGCTACATGATTTGATTACTTTGATATAACATTTGGGGAACGCAAAACTACAGGGACAGATGGGGTGGGGAGAGGGTGAACTATGTAGGGCACTTTTATGGTGAGATATCCTATATCTTGATTGTTGTGGTTACACAACTCTTTATGATGGTTCAAATTAATAAACTGTATACTTAAATAAAGTTAATTTTTATTGTGTAAATTATAGTTCAATTGACCTTGCTTTAAAGAACTACATTAGCTATTTAGTACTTCAAATATAATTAGCCACTTAATTTATGGTGTTGCTATCAGAAATAGCTGGATTAAGGAGGAAAAACCTAATATGTAGGTAGATTTTACTTTGCTTTGGACAATGTGGCTAATGCCTGTTTTTCTCTTGACTCAGTTGGTTTAACATTTGTCCTACATAATAGAGACCTAGTTTAGATAGTAAATTATATAGTTATGTTAGGATTAGGACAGTGTGGGAAACATAGCAATACCTTGTCTCTACTAAAAATTTAAAAATTAGCCTGGATCAGTGGTGCTCTCCTGTGGTCCCAGCTACTCAGGAGGCTGATATGGGAGGATTGCTTGAGCCCAGGAGGTGAAGGCTGCAGTGAGCTATTATCACACCACTGCCCTCCAGCCTGGGTGATAGAGTGAGACCCTGTATCTAAACAAAATTTTTAAAAAAAGAGGGGTTGGGGGTAGGTGATGTTCTCATAGTACTTTGGACAAATTCTCGAGACACCAGGCCACTAACCAGATTTTTTAAGGGCATTAGACAAGTGCTAGTCTTTTTTGGGAGGAAAAGGGAAAGTTGGGGGACATCCTCAGTGACCCTCTGGCTTAGTTTAATGGATAAAACATGTGACACAGACTTTGGAGTCCAGTACATTTAGGATTTAATACCAGGACTACTCCTAAGTAAGTGGCCATGATATTTAATCTAAGTAACCCTGCCAATAAAATAGGTGTTGCAAGAAAGTGACTTAGCAAATTGCTTGGTACAAATTCAGTGTTCGGTAGTTGCTATGATCACTGTTGTCACTATCATTGTCATTATTTGCTGTAAGATGAACTCTTTTTCCATTTATGAATAGCTGCTTCACCACATTGAGGGCAAAAAGATTGTGCATGAAATGTATACACAGTTTCCATTCGCTTTTGTGATCATGAAGTCATATGTGTAATGGCATTTGCCGCTGCTTTTCTTGCTCATAAAGTGGACTTGCTGAAGGCTTATTCCTCACCTAAAACCGGGCCTCCTCTGTAGAATTACTGGTTGCACTGTTAAGTGTCTCCCATCTCCCTGGCTGTCCATGTGCTGCTTGATTTCTTGTTGTCTGGTGATTTCAAGACAGGGTGAAATGTATTTAAATAATTTCAGGAATGTAGCACACATAAGGTGTAAGAGCAAGAAGCATGCTTCACCTGTGTCCTTGCCTTGTCACTCTGAGTGTGGTTAGATCACTCACTTAGATACTGGAGTTAGAGAGTCAGGATACTTGAATAAAGTGTGAAACTCAAGGATGATTTAGTTGAACCTATGGACAAAAAGATTGTTGCTTAATGTTTTCTTAATTTTTAATTTTTTCCTGCCATGTTAGTGAATGATTTTGCTTAATGTTTTATTGAGCACTCACAATGTGAGCCACTGTGAACCTCAAGGAATCAGCCAGACAAGTATGTTCTTTGGACCAACAAGTGAGTGCTGTGTTACGATGCAGATAGGAAATAAAAAGAAACATAACATCCAGAACCTGCTTTGAAAGTGTTTACACCGTAGCTGGGAAGACAAATGACAATACACAAATCAAGGGAATAATAATATGGAATAGAATTAAGTGCTACATGTTGTGGTATAGCCCTAAAATAATACAAGATATGAGTGAAAGGAGAGAGAAATACAAATGGGAAGTGCTCAAGGCAGATATTTGAAAACTCCCTTTATATGATTTTAGTGTCTTGCTGCATGTGGTTTAAGAAGTTAATTTCTGATTACCAGCTGGGATTTTGGTAACATCCTACTTCTGTGCCAAAGCTGAATAAGAAGCAGTTAATGTGGTTAGTATTTAAAACTAAATTCAATTAATTGTTAGCAGATGCAAGATTGATTGGAGTGGGAGATAGTGGGAGGAGGGAAATAGAATACCTTTCAGATTTAAAAAAAGCCTATTCATGAACATTTAATAGCAAGCTGCTATGGAAACTTCTGAAAATTTTTTTGTTTGTTTTAATAAATTATGGGAATTCTACTTTGCTGTGAGGGAGATGGGAAGCAAAAGTTGTTCAGAGGAATCTTCAAAGGGCAAATGAGCCTTTTCTTTGATAATTTTGTCTCAGATAAAGTTGCTTCAAAGAAGACTGCATGCAAGAAGAGTGTTTGATGCTAACGTGCTCTGAGCCCCTTTAATGCCAAAGTTCTGGGAAAGGCTCAGGATGAGTGGTATTTTTACCATCTCTTGGTACTATTCTAGTGAAACTAAACAGTAATTTTTTTTTTTTTTTTTTTTTTAACACAGAGTTCTGCTCTTGTTGCCCAGGCTGGAGTGTAGTGACATGGTCTTGGCTCAGTGCAACCTCTGCCTCCTGGGTTCAAGTTATTCTCCTGCCTCACCCTCCTGAGTAGCTGGGATTACAGGTGCCTGCTACCATGCCCAGCTAATTTTTCTATTTTTAGTAGAGGCAGGGTTTCACCATATTGGCCAGGCTGCTCTCGAGCTCCTGATCTCAGGTGATCCACCCGCCTCAGCCTCCCAAAGTGCTGAGGTTACAGGTGTGAGCCACTGCACCTGCCCTAAACAGTGATTAAAAACAGCAAAGTGTCAATGAGTGAGGATCTACATTTATATTTATCTTTTGCTATAATTTAAAATTATATGCACATGATGGAAGGAATGTAAGAGTGCAGCACTGTGAAAAACCATATGATGGTTCATCAAAACATTAAACATAGAATTACCATATGAGGCTGGGTGCGGTGGGTCATGCCTGTAATGCCAGCACTTTGGGAGGCTGAGGCGGGTGGATCACCTGAGGTCAGGAGTTCGAAACCAGCCTGGCCAACATGGTAAAAACCCCTTCTCTACTAAAACTACAAAAAATTAGCTGGGTGTGGTGGAGTGTGCCTGTAATCCCAGTGAGTCAGGAGGCTGAGGCAGGAGAATCGTTCGAACCCGGGAGGCGGAGGTTGTAGTGAGCCAAGATCATGCCACTGTGCTCCAGCCTGGGAGACAGAGTGAGACTGTCTCAAAAAAAAAAAAAAAATTACCATATGAACCAGCAATTCCATTTCTGGGTATATACACAAAAGAATTGAAAGCAAGGACTTGAATCGATATTTGTACGCCAATGTTCACAGCAGCATTATTTGCAATAGCTCAAAGGTGGAAACAACCCAGATGTCCATCAACAGATGAATGGATGACAATGTGATATATACATACAATAGAATATTATGTAGCCTTAAGAAGAAATGAAGTTCTGACATATGCTACAACAGGGATGAACCTTGAAGACATTATGCCAAGTGAAATAAGCCAGACACAAAAGGACAAATATTGTATGATTCCACTTATGTGAGGTTCCTACAGTAGTCAAATTCCTAGAGACAGAAATCGAATCGTGGTGGCAGGGGAGAGTGGGGAGTTGCTTTTCAATGTATAGAATTTCAGTCTGGGAAGATGACAAAGTTCTAGAGATGGATGGTGGTGATGGTTGCACAACAAGCTGATTGTGTTTAATGCCACTGAACGGGACACTTAGACATGGTTAAAATGGTAAGTTTGATATTACATATATTTTACCACAATAAAAATCCCCAGACATTTCACATAAAAGATACCTATGCTTATGCAATTAATTTTTTTCCCTTGAATAAAGCGCTCAATATAAAGCATGACTGAGACGAAAAAGTGTTTCTTCCAATTCAATCAAGCATTCATTTGCGAATCCTAGCTAATTTGATTACAGTGCCAAGTAAAGCAGTGGTTGCTATCATTCAGGATAAAGAAGCCTGGGGAATTTAGCCTTGCAAGCCTAAATCTAGAAGAGATAAGGTAGAAAGTGCAGCATCTTCACCTATATTTAATATATTTATGGATTTACTTGTGGGTTGAGGGTATTTTAGGTGAGTGGAAAACAATGGGCAAAGGCATGCATGCAGGAATAAGTATATGGTGGGAAGGGTAGGGAGTTGAGGGAGGGAGGTGGGGTAAGGGACAGTGAAAAAGCCATCCCATTCAAAGGGGAGGTTACATGACAGCAAGTAGTGAGATAAAATCGTGGATTGTGTGAGGTGAAACTACAGGGGGAGTTCCTAGTACACGATGTACTAGGAATCCATGGTAGGTTCTTATTCTGGTTTTATGTGCACTGCATATGTCAAAATACAAATCCTTTCTAATTTTTTTTTTTTTTTTTTTTTTTGAGAAGGAGTTTTGCTCTGTCACCCAGGCTGAAGTGAAGTGACATAATCTTGGCTTACTGCAACCTCTGTCCCCAAGGTTCAAGCAATTCTCCTGCCTCAGACTCCCAAGTAGCTGGGATTACAGGTGTGTGCCACCACACCTGGCTAATTTTTGTATTTTTAGTAGAGATGGGGGTTTTGCCATGTTGACCAGGCTGGTCTCGAACTCTTGACCTCAGGTGATCCACCCGCCTCAACCTCCCAAAGTGCTGGGATTACAGAAGTGAGCCACCGCATCTGGCCCTTCTCTAATGTTGAGTCTGCATTTTTCAGAGAAGAGGAAAAGATGTGTCCTTTAGCCTTTAGAATTTCTAATCTTTTTTAACAGGGTTCTGCTACATCGTGCAAAGATACTTTCAAATGCAAAGCTCTGTGCATGGAAAAATGAAGCAACTGCAAAGAAGGCAAATTATATTTGCAGAGCACACAATGACTACACTCCTGTGATATTAGAAAATGACAAAACTGATAACTGAGTTCTTGAAATACATTCTTGTGACAAACTACGCCATTTCTAGTTATCTGATTTGCTTTTCTTGAAAGCTAAAGTGAAGGTCACAATGTATTGACTTGTGGCATAAATATAAACGTTTCCTTCAATTTTTCTTCTGACATCATCCACTAGCTGGAGAACATGGAGACTTTTTGTTTGATTTGGAGAAGGCAGTGTATTTACCAATGGCTGAAGAGTGATTAAGAAATAATGTAACTTCAAAGAGTGTGTGGAGAGAGGCCTAGATAAAGATTGCATGGATCTCTTCTAGATACTATGGAAAGTTGACTTAGGTTAAATTTGAACAAGTCCTGTTGGAAAGGTCATTGAAAGTTAAGAATAGGCTCAAGTGTCTCTGGTGTTATAAAAACATTGTCTACAATGGTAGTCCCTTGCATTGCTTAAGAGGCTTGAGTCTATTGTCAGGATCTTGTATAATATTGTGAATGTGCCGCCTGGGATCATGAAAAGGTCTTAAGCTTCTTTCAAATGCCTGTGAAGTAGGAGCAAACATTTTTCATATACTGCAGTTATTAAAGATAGAGTGATCCATTCAAGTGTGATCAACAAATATTATTAACAAAGGGAAAGAAGATGTCAAAGACACTGGTTCTACATGGATAGGTTATATGTTGGATAAAATTATCGTTAATTTTCAGGGATTCCTGAAACCAGGCTCAATCAGATTCTTTCTTTATGGCTGATGAAAAGCTACGTGATTTAGTCTTGGGAGGGTGTATGTGTCCAGGAATTTATCCATTTCTTCTAGATTTTCTAGTTTATTTGTGTAGAGGTGTTTATAGTATTCTCTGGTGGTAGTTTGTATTTCTGTGGGATCTGTGGTGATATCCCCTTTATCATTTTTTATTGTGTCTATTTGATTCTTCTTTCTTTTCTTCTTTATTAGTCTGGCTAGCGGTCTATTTTGTTAATCTTTTCAAAAAACCAGCTCCTGGATTCATTGTTTTTTGTTTGTTGGTTTGTTTGCTTGTTTGTTTGTTTGTTTTTTGAGATAGAGTTTTGCTCTTATTGCCCAGGCTAGAGTGCAATGGCGCGATCTTGGCTCACTGCATCCTCTGCCTCCTGGGTTCAAGCGATTCTCCTGCCTCAGACTCCCGAGTAGCTGGGATTACAGGTATGTGCCACTATGCCCAGCTAATTTTGTGTTTTTAGTAGAAACGGGGTTTCTTCATGTTGGTCAGGCTGATCTTGAACTCCCAACCTTAGGTGATCTGCCTGCCTCAGCCTCCCAAAGTGCTGGGATTACAGGCGTGAGCCACCGCGCCTGGAGATTTATTGATTTTTTGAAGGGTTTTCGTGTCTCTCTCTCCTTCAGTTCTGCTCTGATCTTAGTTATTTTTTGTCTTCTGCTAGCTTTTGATTTACTCTTGCTTCTCTAGTTCTTTTAATTGTGATGTTAGGGTGTCGATTTTAGATCTTTCCCACTTTCTCCTATAGCCATTTAGTGTTAAAAGTTTCCCTCTAAACACTGCTTTAGCTGTGTCCCAGAGATTCTGGTACATTGTGTTTTTGTTCTCACTGGTTTCAAAGAGCTTATTTATTTCTGCCTTAATTTCATTATTTACCCAGTAGTCATTCAGGAACAGGTTGTTCAGTTTCCATGTAGTTGTGGGGTTTTGAGTGAATTTTTAATCCTGAGTTCTAATTTGATTGTGCTGTGGTCTGAGAGACTGTTTGTTATGATTTCCTTTCTTTTGCATTTGCTGAGGAATGTTTTACTTCCAATTATGTGGTCAATTTTAGAATAAGTGCGATGTGATGCTGAGAAGAATGTATATTCTGTTGATTTGGGGTGGAGAGTTCTGTAGATGTCTATTAAGTTTGCTTGGCCTCAGAGATAACACCACACATCTACAACCATCTGATCTTCGACAAACCTGACAAAAACAAGAAATGGGAAAAGGATTCCCTATTTAATAAATGGTGCTGGGAAAACTGGTTAGCCATATGCGGAAAACAGAAACTGGAGCCCTTCCTTACACTTTATACAAAAATTAACTCAAGATGGATTAAAGACTTAAACGTAAAACCTAAAACCATAAAAACCCTAGAGGAAAACCTAGGCAATACCATTCAGGACATAGGCATGGCCAAAGACTTCATGACTAAAACACCAAAAGCAATGGCAACAAAAGCTAACATTGCCAAGTGGGATCTAATTAAACTAAAGAGCTTCTGCACAGCAAAGGAAACTATCATCAGAATGAACAGGCAACCTACAGAATGGGAGAAAATTTTTGCAATGTATCCATCTGACAAAGGGCTAATATCTAGAATCTACAAGGAACTTAAACAAATTTACAAGAAAAAAACAACCCCATCAAAAAGTGGGCGAAGGACATGAACAGACACTTCTCAAAAGAAGAAATTTATGTGGGCAACAAACACATGAAAAAAGCTCATCATCACTGGTCATTAGAGAAATGCAAATCAAAACCACAATGAGATACCATCTCACGCCAGTTAGAATGGCGATCATTAAAAAGTCAGGAAACAACAGATGCTGGTGAGGATGTGGAGAAACAGGAACACTTTAACACTGTTTGTGGGAGTGTAAATTAGTTCAACCATTGTGGAAGAGACAGCATGGCGATTCCTCAAGGATCTAGAACCAGAAATACCATTTGGCCCAGCAATCCCATTACTGGGTATATACCCAAAGGATTATAAATCATTCTGCTATAAAGACACATGCATACATATGTTTATTGCAGCACTGTTCACAATAGCAAAGACTTGCAACCAACCCAAATGCCCATCAATGATAGACTGGATAAAGAAAATGTGACACATATACACCATGGAATAGTATGCAGCCATAAAAAAGGATGAGTTCATGTCCTTTGCCGGGACATGGCTGAAGCTGGAAACCATCATTCATAGCAAACTAATACAGGAACAGAAAACCAAACACAGCATGTTCTTACTCATAAGTGGGAGTTGAACAATGATACACAGGGAGGGGAACATCACACACTGGGGCCTGTCATGGGGTGGGAGGCTAGGGGAGGGATAGCTTTAGGAGAAATACCTAATGTAGATGATGAGTTGATGGGTGCAGCAAAACACCATGGCACGTGTATACCTAGGCAATAAACCTGCATGTTCTGCACATGTATCCCAGAACTTAAAATATATATATATATATATATATATGTAAAGCTACATGAATTTTGGTAGTGCAGAAAAGGGCCAAACTATAGTTTCCATTTCCAGCAAAGCCACAGAAAATGTCAAAGTGTAGGAAGCCCAGCTTTCTGTGTAGCCCAGCTAAAAGTGCTTTGCCAAAAAGTAAAGAACCAGAAGGGAAAACATTTTCTTTACTTCTCAGACTATTGTTGCTGTGTAGACCCCTACTATCCAATATGGTAGCTACCACCCATTTGTGGCTAATAAGCAATTGAAATGACACTAAATCTGCACTGAGATGCTCTATGAGTATAAAGTACATACCAGATTTCAAAAACTTAGTACAAAAAAGAAAAAGGAATGTAGAATAACTTATAAATGATTTTTAATATTGATTTCATATTTAAATGATGTTTTGGGTATATTGGGTTAAAACTAAATAACTAAAATTAATTTCACCTGTTTCTGTTTATAATTTAATGTGTCTAGTAGAAAATTTAAATTATATAAGCAGCTGGCCTAATTTTCTATTAGGCAGCACTGATGTAGGTGGTGCCACATTGACTTTAAGCACAATAACATTTTTCACTAATGCACTTCATTCTGCCAGCACAGACAGAAGTCTAAACTCCGTTAAAAGTAGGAATCAGTCTTTTTAACCCCTAAATTATTGCCTTAAAAACGAACTGCTTTATCTTACAGAGGTCTTCAGAAATACCCAATGCAGTTATATTTTTTACACTTTCTTTTGCATTTGTTTAATTATTTTTTCAGCGTGCTGTCGTAATGATAACTTTCTATTCTTTGGAAAAATTAGATCAGATGATTAAATCCCCTTCTGAGCATTTAGAAGGGGGTAGCCAAAGAAAGCTGATTTGAATACAGGGAATAAACAGTAATTAAACTGTAAATGTTGATTTCCTTTTGAAGTCCACTGGCGTGTTTGGTGTGAATAAAGAGTACATTGTCAGTTATTATTCCTGCTGCCACAGTTATGGCAGATGAGAATCGTTGAAAGGCTAAGTTAAATTGGGGAGTTTCCCAGGGCTGCTGTACTGAGACTGCCTTTGTTTATATTAAAGCCTGAATTTTCCCCCAACCTCAAACAGTACACATCGATTTTTTCAATAAAATCTGAGAGTTTTTTTCTTTTCCTTTCAAACTCATCTGCTGTGCTGTATTCTGGAGAGGAGTTTTAAGACCTGGAAACGTGGCTTATTGTAGGAAACTAAAAAAGATTTATTTATTTCGCTGTGCATTTTTTTGAAGATTTTAAAACAGTAATCTCAACCTCAGCTGTTTCTTAGACTCAGGTGACGAGGTTTGAAAACTTCCAGGGTCCAGGGTGCATGCCAGTCAATTATGTTAGAAACGCTGGGATAGGGCTAGGGATCAGTAATTGTTAACCACCCCCAGGTGATTGCAGTGAGTTGCTGAGGCTGAGAACCACTTCTGCATTAACAGTCTAAGGAACACCTGTGTCCACCAGTTTTTCCCAGAAGCACTCAAGGAACCCGGCTTGCAGTATGCACAAGAGTTAAGTTTCTAGACGACTTTTTTCCTCCCTCTGATGGAAAATTAGAGGGGCAGTACATTGGTTCACTCTGAAACACATAACAATGTATACTTTTCTCACGCTCTAATATAAACACCGAAGAGACTTTGATGATTATAAAACTGACACAAGTTCAATAATTACTTGAGCTCATTTTATTCAGGATATGTGAGCTAGGCTGTTTGTCTTTTAAAGCCACACACACAATAAACACACATATACACATACAGAATCGAAGTATATTCTGCCAATATGTTTTCACAAGTTATTACATCAGCAATTTCAGCTGGATTCTAGAGGACATTTTCGGCAGGGTGAGTATAGTAGGCATTGTACTGAATTATTCTGGGTTAGGTATTACCGTTTTTGCAAATGCAGTTGTTATCATGGAATCCAGATTTTTCCATTGTGAAACTGTTCCTCTTGAATCTAGTTCTGTTGCATCTAAGGCCTTTGACAGGGGTTCATGTGGTAAAAATATTTTGTAAACTATAAAGCACTAAGTAAAGTAAGCCAATTCATTATATGCATTTTGTGAAGTTGGTGGTTTTGTTTAAAATCAATATCAAATGAGAAAATCTCTTTTGTGGGTAGCCAAGAAAGGTGATTTATTCTGGGGTTGCTCTTTTGGGAGGGGTTGGGATTATTTGGTTGTCACAAAATGGATGGCGAGTAGAGTATAAAAATCTTTGAATCAGTAGCAATTTGTTGTTGGCCACGTATTATTAAGAGCTTTGTGATGTTCATTCGCTCATTCGTTCATTCAACAAACACTCATTGACACCTTCCAGGTGTCAGTATTGCTCTGGGTGCTGGGGATACAGCAGTGAGCAAAGTAGAACAACAAAACCAATCCTGTTCTCCACGAGTTAACCTGTGGTTGGTGGAGACCAACAATATGTTAGTAAATTATGAGTGAAAAATAAAGCAGAGAAAGGGGATAGGAAGCACAAGATTATAATTGTTCATGTGACTACAGCCAGCCTCACCCAGAAGGTGACATTTCAGCAAAGGACTGAAGTAGGTAAGAGAGCAAACCACACAAGTATCAGAGGAAGGGTGTTTCAGAGAGCAGGAACAAGCAGTACAAAGGGCCTGAGGTCAGCGGGAAACCGGAGCTGGTTGGATGAAATGCAGGATGCCCAGTTTAATATGCATTTCAGGTTGCACATACACACACCCATGCATGCACACACACGTGCATGCACACACACAGAGACATACACGCACATGTGCACATGCACACACACACACACACACACACACACACATATATTTAGAGATGGAGTCACACTCTGTCACCCAGGCTAGAGTGCAGTGATGCGATTATGGCTTACCACAGCCTCAAACTCCTGGACTCAAGCAATCCTCCTGCCTCAGCCTCCCAGGTAGTTGAGACTATAGGCATGCGCTGTTGTGCTGGGCTAATTTATTATTATTTTTTTGTAGAGATGGAGTCTTGCTTTGTTGCCCAGGCTGGTTTGAACTCCTGGCCTCAAGTGATCCTCCTCCTTTGGCCTTCAAAAGTGCTGGGGTTAGAGGCATGAGCCCATTTTTTAATATAAATATGTGCCATGCCATATTTGGGGCATACTTATGTTAAAAACTTAGAGTGCCTTGTATTTTTATTGCCCAAATCTGGCTAAATCTGGTAACACTGGGTATACCTACCAGGTTTTTTTTTTTTTTTTTTTTGATATGGAGTCTCGTTCCGTCCACCAGGCTGCAGTGCAATGGCTCTATCTTGGCTCACTGCAACTTCCACCTTCTGGGTAAAAGTGATTCTCCTGCCTCAGCCTCCCAGTAGCTGGGATTACCGGCACCCACCACCATGCCTGGCTAATTTTTGTATTTTTAGTAGAGACGGGGATTTGCCATGTTGGCCAGGCTGGTCCCAAACTCCTGACCTCAGGTGATCTGCCTGCCTTGGCCTCCCAAAATGCTGGGATTACAGGCGTAAGCCACCATGCCCGGCCTGCCTAGCAGGTTTGAAAGTGTGAAAGGACTCCAGTGGCTGGAGTGGAAGTGAGGAAGAGGGAGAGCTCCTGGGCACCAGAATGAATGGGGAGGGTCCTTTAGGGCACTGTGAGGCCATTAGCTTTTACTCCTACTGAGACTGGACATCCCAGGAGAGTTTCAGAGCAGAGAAGTGCTATGACTGCTCTTGAAGTTTAAGAGGACCAGGTGGCTGGCTTTGCTGTGTGTCAGAGAACAGGAGCAGAAACAGGGAGACCAGCTGGGAGGTGACTGCAAAAGTCCAGGTGAGAGGCGATGGAGCTAGTGAGGAGTGCCGGAGGCCTGGTGTATTCTGACGGTAAGCCAATAGCATTTGTGGATGGACTGGACATGGGGCATAAGCAAAATAGAAGAGTCAAAGGAGGGATGAAGTTGGCATTAAGTGAAAGGGGGAAACTTTAAGTGCAGCAAGGTTTTTTTGAGGGGTGGGGATAGGGAAAGATCATAAGTTCATATGTGAGGTGTTAAGTGTTAGATGTCTATCTGACATCATGTCCAAGTGGAAACAAATTGGCATTCCATATGTCTTTTCCAATAGCAAAATCTGGAATTGCATCGTTTCACTCAAGTGGAAAAGGAAAATGAAAGTAAGGGTGAGGAATGGGTGAGAAAGAGGAATATTTGGAAGAAAAAGATGTTCTTCACCCTGCTATGGGGGACTTGATTGAGGACTGTGACAGTCTTTGGGAACTGATAACTAGGGGAAGCTGCCAATGCTTGGTGATCTCTCAAATCCCAGGGAAGACAGGCTGTCAGAGCTCTCCGATGGCATGTAGAAGAGCTGAGCTGAAGGTCACGTCTCCATGCTTCCAGCTGCCAAGGCGTGGTGGAGTCACTTAATGCCACCACCTCCCAGTTATCCTCCCACAGCCTTTTGTAGTGTGCCCAGGTTAACCCATTCTCGCCACTTCCCCTCATAACAGAGGAGCTGTAAGGAAATATATATGGCTGGGCATGGCTCACATCTGTAATCTCAGCACTTTGGGAGGTAAAGTAGGAGGATCCTTGAGTCCAGGAGTTTGGAACCAGCCTGGGCAACACAGGGAGACCTGGTCTCTACAAAAATAAAAAAAAAATTAGCCAGATATGGTGGTAGGCACCTGTGGCCAAGGATTCTGTCACCTTCACCTTTGCTGAGTTGGGAGGATCGCTTGAGCCTGGGAGGCAGAGGTTTCAGTGAGCGGTGCTCGTGCCACTGCACTCCAGCAGAGTGAAACCTTGTCTCAAAACAAAGCAAAAAATAAAAGCAAAGAAAAAGAAAAACATATATAGGCATTACTCTCGTACAAATTACCTCAGGAGGAAAAAAATAAAATCTTTTCTTGGAGGAGTGGAAAAACTCTTTTTAATTTTTATTTTATTTAATAGAGATGGGGTCTCATTATGTTGCTCAGGCTAGTCTCAAATTCCTGGGCTCAAGCAATCCATCTGTCTCATCTCCTAAAGTGCTGGGATTACAGGCATGAGCCACCGCACCTGGCCAATAAAGCCCTTTATATGATATGTGTTGTTGCTCTTGTCCACAACCACAGTCATGTTCATCTCCGTGATGTCTAGGAACCTGCTCCTACTAAGCACAGCCTCCTCCCACATCTCCAGGAGCCTTTCTTTTCTCCAAGGCGACTCCTGACTCTTTCCTCTCGGCTGTCCCTGCGGATGTTATCATTTCATCTCTCCCACCCACTAAAATTTGGCTCCTCCTCAAGGCGCTTTCGCATTTTCCCACGGTTTTCTTCTTGACTCTTCCTGTCAGCTTCTATGTTCTCTTCTCTCATTCTCTGTAGATTCTGTGAGAACTTGGCAATTTTTCTCTTAGGCTTTTTTTTGCCATTTATTCTCCCCCTCCCCCTCCCCCTCCCCCGTTTTATTTTTTACGGCTTGTTATATACTGAGGTTTTGTATTTATCTTCTATCCTCCTCTACTCCATAAGGCTCAGAATGGAGAATTTCTTTAAGCCTTCATTATATTACTTGTGAGTTTCTCAGTTTCATTCAGAAATCAGTTATACATACCTAATAATGAAACTTAATTTGGGGAAGTTTTGCTGACAGTCTCTATGCCAAGTTCATGATTAACAGCTGGGATAGGATATATAACAATTATGTTTAATATTTTGTTTCGAGATGATCAAACTCCACCTGCAAGTTTCCCGCTAGCTTTACTTTGGAAAGAAGTTATTTAATGCAGAGATTGGGATGTGGGAGAGCTACTTGGTTTATGTTTTTTAATGACTCTGGGTTAACTCGAACTCAGACTACAGTTCACATGGTTCTTGTGCTCCCTTTGTCTGACCCTCTCTTTCTGCCAATTAGCTGGGTCTGATTTCAAAAGCCTTTTTCTTTTATGCCAATTATCGTTGATTATCTTGGCAAATTCCCACCTAATGCTCAGTTAAGGGCGGGTTCTCAATCTTTTTCCACTGGTGTCTCAACAGGTTTTCCATGGGGAATGTGATATGGGTACACTTCCTTGGAAAGGAGTGCCTTAGTAATCACTAAGCTCCCTTGGTTGGGCCCTAAATAGACCTTCCTTATAGCAAAATCCGCTTTGTAGCCAGTATTTTTGTGGCGAGTCTTTATTGTGCTGCCAGGTCTTATCTCATGTAGGCCAGCCTGTCTTTGGCATCTGTAGTTTGCAAATTGGTAACTGGAAGAATACAATGAGGATTTTTCCCTCCCTCCCTCCCTCCCTTCCTTCCTTCCCTCTTTTTTTTTTGTTTGTAAGCTGCGTGTATGGAACTCTTACTCTATGCCAGGCACTGTGATAGTGCTTTAGACAGAAGATTCATTCGGTTCATACAACCCATTTTATAGATGGAGATGGATGCTTAGAGGGCTTAAATAACTTGCTCAACTTATAGCTAGCTAGTAAGTGTAGGAACCAGGATATGAACTAGATCTAGTTTCAAAACCTGAATCCTTGAAGATAGTTCTTCCTGTTACACTATGGGGTTTAAAACTAAATCAGCGAGGCCGGGAGTGGTGGCTCATGCCTGTAATCCCAGCACTTTGGGAGGCCGAGACGGGTGGATCATGAGGTCAGGAGATCAAGACCATCCTGGCTAACACGGTGAAACCCTGTCTCTACTAAAAATACAAAAAATTAGCCGAGCGTGGTGGCACATTCCTGTAGTCCCAGCTACTCTGGAGGCTGAGGCAGGAAAACCACTTGAACCCAGGAGATGGAGGTTGCAGTGAGCAGAGATTGCGCCACTGCACTCCAGCCTGGGCGACAGAGCGAGACTCCGTCAAAAACAAACAAACACCCACTAAATCAGCAAAAGAGAATCAATACAATTCATTTCTCTTTTCCTAAAGATTTTAGTTTTCCTAGAAAATTTCTAACAACCGTGACATTCATTTGAAATCTAAAAGTTGGGTTGTCTTTTTCTATTCCCAGAGTCAGAACTTTGATTAACGTAAAGAAATCTCGAATCTCTAAGCTGCTGATTTAAAAAATAAATATGTATATATGTGTATGTATTGTCTTGAACATAATGAGGTCCTGAACCAGAAACCAATTGTACTGTACATCTGCAATAAACTAGCTACTAAATGCCAAGCTATGGGGAACATGCACTAATTAAAGACAGACTGTCTAATTTTTCTGTGATTGCTACAAAGTAATCGTGATAGTCTCAATGCACATGACAGATGCTCACTAAATTGTTGATAGGTTAGTTCCGGTTCAAAATGGTGGGAGAAGATGAGAGTGTGATTTATCTTATCGTAAATGTTGTTCCCAACAGAAGGTCAGACGATGAATTCCCAATGAGAAGTTGAACCCAATTGGCCCCTTTCTATGTGTGCTTGATGAGGTGTTTCTGATGGGGCTTTTATTGGTCAAGCTTGAAAGACCATCTTTTCAGAAAGGTCAAATTCCCCATTATCCAGGAATAGGGAAATAAGGCTACAAACTTCTAGGGCTTCTGCTGCTGTCTTTCTTCCTTTCTCATTTCTTATACATAAGAAAGAAATATCGAAAATTCATAGATGACAGCTGAGATGTCCTCTTGGAAATAAGACTTCATTATGTTTCCCGTCTACTGCCTGCTATGATTACATAAAGAAAAGGTGACCAGAATCACTGTAGCAACAAATAGAATTCAGTTGCTTCTTTTCCTGCCCTCAGCCTCCTAGGGCCTATAGTGTGGTGGCTGAGAGCTCAGATTCTGGAGGTGAACAGCTCTGGGCTTAAATCCTGGCTCCTTTACCTTTTGGCTTGATTTTGGGCAAGTTACACAATCCCCTAAACTCATCATTTCCCATCTGAAGTGGGGATGAAAATAGCACCAATCTAATATGGTTACTATGAAGATTAAAAGGATTAATGTTTGTAAAAAAAAATTAGCAGTGTACCTGGCATATGGTAAATATCAAATTTATGATAGCTGTTTTAAAAATTATTATTATTGCAGAAATATACTAGTTCATTAGTTGCATATACTGATAGAAGTGGGGATGGAACTTCATAAGGGAGTGGAAAGAGAATACTAGCACTCCCTGGTACCACTTGTATGTAAATCACTTAACGGTGTGCAAAGGATCACACTATAGTTCTGTGATGTGAGAGAAGACTGAATCACTTCCATTTCCGTTGGTAAATGCTAAGGGCAACTACAGGGTGCAGGGCAATAAATGCTGCCTCTCTACTTGGAAATGACTAATCTCCTTTCTCTAAAGTAAAGTGATGTTGAAGTGGGTAAGAAGAGAGAAGATGAAGGTAGCCAGAGTGAGAAGTGGGATGGAAGGGACAGGGAAGTTTCTAAGATCAGCCCCAAATCTTCCTTCTTGAGCTGTGACCAGAACACCATCCAATATCCAATGTCTTCTATCAGCCTGAGTTATCAAGCACAGGAGAGAGCTCCGTATTAAACTGTGTGGCATACGAGTGCCTAATTCCCAGTCTTCTAACTAGTAAGGACAAGGTTTCCTTGCCAAGTTTATCCTGAGGGCAAAGGCCTGGGTGATGTTTTTTGAGGGATGGTATATTCTTTTTAAAAAAGGTATTTAGGAAGCTGTACTTTGTAGACCCATGTGAGAAGGGAAATTGCATTTAAAACTCACCTTGGGGTGAAGGGAAATGCCTTTGAACTCTGCAACTCAGTAGGTAGTCACTTATCCCCCTCATCATTGATGGGTGAGCAGACAAGCTGAGAGCAATCGCATCTCAGCGTACAGTCCTGATGCACTTGTATTCAGTAATGTAGGCAGTTTGAGGTTTGCCCTTCTGTCCTCGCTAGGTGTTTGCTTTCTACTCTGTACATGTTTTAGGATGAACTATAGTTATCTTCCAAATTAGCATTTTAAAGGCATTCTGATTTTGTTTAAAACAAATCACAACGTGAAGTATTGGACTATGGCTGTAGATAATTCTTCAGATTGTGTTAGTACTCCTGGACCAGTTATTGTGAACTCATGGCCTTTTCAAAATGCAGTCGTTGGCTTTCATCTTCTTAAATGTGACTCTATCAAATCCATTCCAACTCTCATACTGGCATTAGTTTGGCCTACTTCCTCTAACGCAAGCCAAGCAAATTCTCCAAATACCAAATATAAGATGGAGATTCAAAGGTCATTGTTTTCTTCCATGCCATTCCACTCCACTCCCACCCCCAGCCAGCAGGGTAAGGGTTCAGATTCCTGCTTAAAACAACAGGTCAGTGGGCACTGCCAAATCATCCTCAATGCCGTTTCAACTGCTAAGTTTTCTGTATCACAAAACCAATGTTTATCCTGTATTTGCAACCCCTGAGCTGCGTTCTCTTGCCCTGATTCTCTTGCTCTTCCCTGCCAGTGAATTTGCATCATTTCTGTGTGTGCTTTGTTTGACTGCCCTGACTCCAGTTCTGCTGAGACTGTCTGTGGGTGGTTTCCCTGTGCAGAGATGACAAGTGCAAAGGTCAGAAGCTTCCATGATTCATTTCCTCTTTGCTGCACGCAGTGGATGGTTTTCTGGGTGAGTCACTCAGATGCCAAACACAGGAGGGATTTTCTTCACATAGAGGCCCTGAGGCTCTGCTATGCCCTGAATTGGAGGAGGAACTGAGTTCTTAATATTTCCTGAAAAATTGTGTATTTTTTCCAATGATTTCATAAGCCCATTTGTATTCCCTTTCTTTGCATCTGATGACTCTGATTTGCGAATGCTGCGTACCCCTTGGAGAACATTTTGGTATCTTGTAGAGCTTCACTGAGTTCTGACTCAAGAGTAATTGGACTCTTTGAAATATACCCCAAAAGCCTGGATGCAGTAGCTCACACCTATAATCCCAGCGTTTTGGGAGGCCAGGCGGGAGGATTGCTTGAGGCCAGGAGTTTGAGACCAGCCTGGGCAACATAGTAAGACCCTGTCTCTCTCTAAAAAAAAAAAAAAAAAAATTACGTGTGTGTGTGTGTGTGTGTATTATGTTTGTGTGTATATATCTCAAGCATATTCCTGTATTAAAACATTCCCTGGTATGTTATCTATACAGGAGTATTAACAGCAGTCTACCTGTGGCTCTTCAAAAATCCACCCTCCTAGCCAGGCACAGCGGCTCATGCCTGTAATCCCAGCACTTTGTGAAGCCGAGGTGGGCAGATCACTTGAGGTTAGGAGTTCAAGACTAGCGTGGCCAGAGTGGTGAAACCCCATCTCTACTAGAAATACAAAAATTAGCCAGGCGTGGTGGCGGGCACTTGTAATCCCAGCTATTCGGGAGGCTGAGGCAGAGAATCTCTTGAATCCAGGAGGCAGAGATTGCAGTGAGTCGACATCGTGCCACTGGCCTCCAGCCTTGGGTGACAGAGTGAGACTCTGTCTTAAAAAAAAAAAAAAAAATACTACCCTCCTCTTCTTCTTCCAGAATAAAAATCTATGGGAGGAACAAGAACATCAACTGAGGATGATGGTAATGTTGCAATACCTAGGGCTGAAACCTACAGCAAAGTATTATTTTCTCAATGAAGAGAGGTTATTATTTTCTTTTTTTTAAACCTTTAAAAATTATGAAATAGAATATGCAAACAGAAGGCATAAGTGTATAGTACAATGAATAATTACAAAGTGAATACCCTCCATCAAGAAATGGAACATGGCCAGCCCAGACGTCCCTCCTTTGTTTACCTTCTAGACGTACCTCCCTTCTCCTGTCTTGAGGTATCCACTACCCTGATTTTTGTGGTAGTCATTTCCTTGCTTTTCTTACCACCTATGTATGCAAGGTTGTTATTTTGTAAAGCAGTATCAATTCCATCTTCTGCCGGTGGCACTATGTAATTCACTTGTATTAAGTAGCGACCACAGGATGACTTTGGGCTAGAGTGGTATATATCTATTCTCTCCCCACCCTAAAATTCCATAAAAATGCTTATCCATGTCTACTGTGTCATGAACTAATAATACTCCTGCTAAGACACATGTTTAAAGTAATGACAGTGAAGAGGTAAAATAAGCACGAAATTTTCAGTGGTCTGTCTCCTGTGCTCTGGGGTTCCTGAGCTGCAAATAGAGTTAAATGATCTGTGATGGGAATATAGAAATCCTCCCCGCCAACCCCCTGCCACCTCTTACTATCCCCTCTCTCTGATTTCCCTGGGAAATATCCCAGCAAGTTGTAAAATCTGCAGAACTTGGGCATGAAAAGGATCTATTTACAGGTCCTGAACTTTCCCCTTTTGGTTTCTTACTTTGAGAACATACAGGCTGTTTCAGCATATTTCTTTATCAGGGCAACTCACCCCAAAGATTATTTGATCTTCTTTAGTCTGACATGTTCTCTGCTGAGCTAGGAAAAGCAGCTGAGTGGAAATGGGACTTAAAATGTAATTCTTAACCATTTTTACTTCCTCGCCTTCCTTCTCTTCCTTGATTGGCTCAGGCAGGTTTGTAGAGGCAGAAAAGGAAATTAACGTTTATTACACCCCTATTTTGTGCCAGGCACTTTTGAGTCCATTATCTTATTAAATACAACACCAGGAGATACTTATTTTTTTTTGTTGGCTCCATTTTGTAATGGAGGCCACTGCATTTCAGAGCACTTAAGTAACTAAACATCATTATGTAGTTAGAAATGGCCATAATGAGGAACTAAACGGTCTAACTCCAAAGCCAAGTTCTCTTTCTTCTCTATCAAGCTGTCTCTTATTTCACTTGCCTGATGACCTTGGAGTGCCCTTGGCAACCACTTTTTAAAGGAGGGTCTATTTTTGTTAGGCAGAATGAAAAGTTATTGGGTTTATTAGCAGTAATGGGTTCAAGGTCTCAGAGTTTTCTTTTTTTTTTTTTGAGACAGGGTCTTGTTGTGTCACCCAGGTTGGAGTGCAGTAGCGCAATCACTGCTTACTATAGCTCCAACCTCTCGGCTCAAGTGATCCTCCTGCTTCAGCCTCCTGAGTAACTGGGATCACGCCCAGCTAATGTTTTTATAATTTTTAGTGGTGACGAGGTCTTGCTATGTGCCCAAGCTGGCCTGAAGCAATTGTCCCACCTCAGTCTCCCAAAATGCTGAGATTACAGGTATGAACCACCATGCTGGCCTCAGTTTTCTTCTTAAGAGCACTGGCTTAGGGCTGGGTGTGGGGTGTGGTGGCTCACACCTTTAATCCCAATGCTTTGGGAGGCCGAGGCAGGTGGATCATTTGAGGTCAGGAGTTCAAGTCCAGCCTGGCCAACATGGTGAAACCCTGTCTCTACTAAAAATACAAAAATCAGCTGGGCCTGGTGTTGCACACCTGTAATCCCAGCTACTCGGGTGGTTGAGACAGTAGAATCACTTGAACCTGGAAGGTGGAGGTTGCAGTGAGCCAAGATCATGCCACTGCACTTCAGCTTGGGCAACAGGGGGAAAAAAAAGCACTGGCTTAGGCTTCGGAGCCACCAGGATGAAAGGCTTCAGGTTATGGTAGTTTCATAAGGGATGGAGGAGGACCGTCAATCTTTGAAGCTCATGTTTGATCCAAGGCCACTTTCTGTGTTTCCTTACATCACAGGTCTGGCTGCCTCTGTGATCTGGTGCCCATAGTCTGTAGGAGACATTATAAGCTTACTGTAAGAAAGCCTAATTAGAAAACAAAGACAGCATGGAGGGGATTACCCTGGAAACATTCCTTGTGCTATAATGCTATTCACTGTGGAGTACAATTTGGTGAAATGCCCACCCCTCTTGCACCTTATCCAGGGAATGTTACTAAAGCAGCACAAGTACTTTGTTTTGTGTTGGTCTTTTGTGTAAGGCAGCTCTCCAGTGTGGTTCCTGTAGCCAGTGTTTCCCCAGAAGAGAGCATGTTAAATGCTTACGGGAAACAGTTTGGTCAGTTGAGGAGCAGGTGTCGGGAAAACAAATGAGGCAGGAATTTAATTTTGGAGTATGTCTGGAGGTGGTATTTACAGAGCACATGGAAGTTATTTTTGGAGGTGCTTATGAATTGTTTAAGTCCATGTCCTTAACTTTAGGAGGAAGTAACATCTGTGTCACACTAAATGTGGAACCTGAATGAGGCTCATAGCCTGTGGCAGAGGCCAGGACCTTGGGCCAGCAGTTTTTGCTCACCATGTGAGGTTGAGTGTCAGTGTTAAAGGGCATTTTTTCAGAGGGGGAAGTTGGAGAGGGAGTAGTGGGTAGCAGCTCCTACTTCAACCATCTCCAGGATTCTGCCCTTTTAATCTGTGAGACATGAGGAACGATTTTTCATCTTCTCCCCAACACAGGCACTACTCCACAACTCCATTGCAGTGATCATATTATTGTTATCCTCTTATGATATACTTCTCTCTTTTGTAATATCTATGGCCATTCATTTGTTCATTCTTGATTCATTTGTTTAATCAAAAAATATTTTTTGGGCCGGGTGCGGTGGCTCATGCCTGTAATCCCAGTACTTTGGGAGGCCGAGGCGGGTGGATCACGAGGTCAGGAGATCGAGACCATCCTGGCTAACACGGTGAAACCCTGTCTCTACTAAAAATACAAAAAATTAGCCAGGCGTGGTGGTGGGTGCCTGTAGTGCCAGCTACTTGGGAGGCTGAGGCAGGAGAATGGCGTGAACCCGGGAGGCAGAGATTGCAGTGAGCAGAGATCGCACCACTGCACTCCAGCCTGGGCGACAGAGCGAGACTCCGTCTCAAAAAAAAAAAAAAAAAAAAAAAATTTGATCTCATAGTAAATGCTAGGCAGTGTCTTAGACCCTGGTGATACATAACGATACAGACGAACATCATAGTTTGTTTTATTTTAAACAATTTTCATTTTTTTGCATGAATTTTAAAAACACAATTATGTAATTGCAAGTACTACAAAAAGAAGTTGCTTGTTTGTCATTGATAGGAATAATTAAAAAAAAAAAAGTCATATGTAAGACTCAATGGTAGGGAAATAATGTGGATTTTACTAGGAGATGGAGCAGGAACCTGACAAGAATAAAACCACATGTGTCATTTTCCCTGCTCTTGTCATTGCTGTTTCTACAATGGCAGCAAAAACTTGGGTTATGTTTTCATGGATATTAGTCTCTTCTCCAAGTCATTGTAGAAGCATCATTGATCTGTTTTTTCACTTTGCGTAAGTTACCAAATTTTTCCATATATCTCAAATAGTTAGTATCACACAGTGTTAGAATTGGAAAGGCCCTCCAATGTTTATCTATGAGGAAATTGAGTTTCAGATGGAGAGGTGATTTGTCTAACATTAGTGGCTAGTTAGTAGCAGAGCTAGTTCTGCTCTTCTTCCTCCAAAATGGAATTCCTGAGTTATTTGTTTTCCTAAGATCTATTCCATGATTGACCAGACTACACTATGCTGCCAGCTCCTGTCTGTATCTAACACAGATATTTACATAATGCCTCTCTTGACAATATAGTAATATATATTGAAAGTCTACTGTAAGTAAGCGATGAGCTGAGGGCTTTACACACATGATGTTATTAATCTTCACCCTAACACTTTAAGAGGAATGTTGTTATTGTTTTCATTTTACAGATGAGAAAACAGAGAGACTAAGTCAACGATTCCTTAACTAGCTTTAAAAAGTCAGATTATTCAAGGCCAGGTGCAGTGGCTCATGCCTGTAATCCAAACACTGGGAGGCCAAGGTGGGAGGATCACTTGAAACCAGGAGTTCAAGACCAGCCCAGACAACAAAGTGAGACCCATTTCTACCAAAAAAAACCATATTAGCCAAGCATAGGGGTGCACATCTGTGGTCCCAGCTACTCAGGAGGCTGAGACGGGAGGATCATTTGAGTTCAGGAGTTCAAGCCTGCAGTGAGTCACAATGGTGCCACTGTACTCCAGCCTGGGTGGTAGAACAAGACCTTGTCTCTTAAAAAATTAGATTATCTTGAAGAACAAAATAATGATAGCATTGAATTAAAACTCAGAATAAAATAAATATCCACGAGTCCATACTGATATTGATAAGTAATTGAAAAAATGAAGAGAAGGCACAACTTTTCCTTACAGAACTCTTCCTGGAAAATTCTAACTAATAAAGGTAGAAGGAAGGAAATAGAAACTCACCATTAGAATACCCCATTAATAATTGTTGCAGACATCAGTGTGTGGAAGTTTGAGGAGAAACACAATATTTACTCTCTCAGAGTATCTCCCTCAAGATTATTAATCACAAATGGAGACATACTAACTTGACAGCAGAAAACTCCAGCAGACACCACCTTAATTGAGTGATCCAGGTTAACCTCACCAGTAGTGAGATATAATGATATCTCCTAACCCAAAACGATACACTGAGAAGGGCACTTCACTTTGGTGGCATTCTTGCTAAAAATGTAAAACATCAATCTCATCTTGAGAAAACATCAGACAAACACAAATTGAGCAACATTCTATAAAATATTTACCACTCATCTTCAAAAGTGTCTAGGTCATGAAAGTCAAGGAAAGACTAAGGAACTGTCATAGTGTGGCGGAGACTAAGGGGACATGACGACAAAATGTAATGTGGAATCCTGTAAGAGAAAAAGATTTTGGTGGAAAAACTGGTGAAAATTGAATAAGTATCACTCCATGTAGGTATAGCATTGTGTCAATGTTAATTTCTTATCTTTGATAATTGTGTTATGGCTATGCAAGTTGCTAACATTAAAAGAAGCTAGGTAAAGGACATATGGAAACTGTCTGTACTGTTTTTGCAACAAATTTTTCTTTTCTTTCTTTCCTCCTTTTTTTTTTTGTTTTGTTTTGTTTTTGAGACAAGGTCTTGCTCTGTCACCCAGGCTGGAGTAAAGTGACATAACTCACTGTAGCCTTAAACTCCTGGGCTCAAGTGATCCTTCTGTTTCAGCCTCCTGGGTAGCTGGGTAGCTGGAACAGGTGCATAGCACCAGGCTCAGCTAATTTTAAAAATTTTTGTAGGGATGGTGTATTAGTCGATTCTCATGCTGCTAATAAAGACATACCTGAGACTGGGTAACTTATAAAGGAAAGAAGTTTAATTGACTCACAATTCCACATGGTCGGGGAGGCCTCAGGAAATTTACAATCATGGCAGAAGGTACCTCTTCACAGGGTGGCAGGAGAGAGAATGAGTGCTCAGCAAAGGGGGAAACCCCTTATAAAACCATCAGCTATCATGAGAGCTAACTCATTATCATAAGAATCATGTGGTAACCCCCACCCCCCATGATACAATTATCTCCTCCTGGTCCCTTCCATGACGCATGGGGATTATGGTAACTATGATTCAAGATGAGATTTGGGTGGGGACCCAACCAAATGATATCAGATGGGGTCTTGTCATGTGCAACTTTTCTTTAAGTGTAAACGTATTTCAAAATTGAACCAGGTCCCATTTAAGACTTACTAAATCAGAATTTTGCCAGTTCGTATGATCCAGAACTCTGTACTGTCCTGGGTGACCCCTGTGTCTGAGTTTGCATATGTAGGAAGTGGTAGGACCAGGATTTGAACCTAGGTCTGCCTGATTGCAAAGCTCTTCGCCAGAGCAGGCTGCCTAATAGATACTTGAAGTTAAGTGGAAATCCAGATTAAAAATATCAACAATGTTTGAGATAAAAACACTCAGTGAAAATTATTGTATTTTTATATCTTGTTCTTTTAAATATACAGAGATGATGTTTGGTGATTAAATTGAACTAAAGACTAAATCCTTCTTCCTGATCCTAATTCCCAAGTCATCTTCATTTATTTTAAATAGGCAGCGTAATTATCTCAACCAAATAGGCTATTCCTGAGTTATAGTACCAAAACTTGCTCCATTGTTGGTAGAGAAGAACTCAAAACTGTAATTGCAAATGTCACTGTTGTAAAGTATGGTCAAATCATAAGAATTTAATGATATATGCATTTTGGACTAAGTAAAAAGAGCAAAATCAAATTCTAAAGATAATTATCCAAGCGTGGTTAAAAAAATCAAGGCCTGTTTAATCTGTTTTCTCTCTCATTTGGCCCAGTTCATCTCTCAGATGGCCTCAGACCCTGGCAAGTAGAAGTTCTGAGCAGGCTGGAATTACCCACACTTGGGGAGATAGGTTGCCAAAGAGGTGTGGCTAGGAGGGTGATGAAAAAGGCTCTGTGCCCAAGGCTTCTTCCTTCTCACTAACTTTGGTGCCAGGCACCCTATTAGTGCCTAGAGATGTAGAGATGAATATGGCACAATCCCTGCCTTCAAATCACTCCTGGCTTAGTTTGGGTGAGAGAACTATGGATGGCTCAGAGCTGGGGATTGGACAAGTAAGGGCAAAAAGAAGGGAAAAATTGCTATTGGAACAAAAACTGATTCTCACCATTTCACATACTAGGAGACTGACATGAGTTACCCAGGTGTGATGGCTCTTTGACTTAAAAATTAAACTTGAACTACTTCTTTTTGAGTAGTCAGCCTCTCCTCCTCTGTGGCTGGGCCTGTGGTCTGGAAGGAGAGAAGGAGATTCAGAGAAAGCTTTTGGCTTTGCATAACAAAGCAGCAGGAATTGAGGACTGTCACCTGGCATCTCAAAGGCAACTGGGAATGAGTAGAGCGGTGTGGAAGCTGGGTGCAGCCTGTGCTGACTCAAAGCAGGCAATCTCCTCCGCGTTTCCCCAAATTCTTCGGAGAAAGGAGAACCTTAAAAGGGATGGGGTGAATGGACCCTCTGTCACATAGGAAAGTGAAGAATTGCAACATAATGCAGTGGAGTCATGTGCTGCTTGGGATGAGATCACAGAGGAGCGTCTGCCTAACTTTGATGGGGCAAGGGTGGGGGTTGGAGGTGTGAAAACTTCACAGAAGACATCATGTCTCAAGTTTATACAAAATTATGAATAGGAGTTCATCAGATGTCTAAGGAAAAAAGAGCTTTCCAGAAAAAGGGCTCATACATTAGTGAGTAACCCCTTCCCAACCCCACCCCTCCCCATTTGAGTTTTTTCTTGGGTGAGAGATTGTATCTGTATAGGGCTCTGCCAAAATACAAATAAGTTCCCTGGGAGGGTATTATGCTTTTGTAGCAGCAGTTTCGGAGGAATACACTGGGCGAGTTTTATCAACGGAATAGAAGAAAACCAGAGCACTTAGCTCTGGGAGGTCAAACTCCACCCTACCCCTGCTTCTACCCCATTTGGAGCTGAAAGGGTGCTCCTGGGTAGCCAAAGGGCTCCAGAAGGAAGGAAAGTGGTGCTTGAGGAAGGAAGTGATGGGTCGGGGGAGGAGAAACAGGACCCAAAACAGACTCTGGAGACAAACATTACCTCTCCAGCCAGGCTGGCTTTGACAAAGTAGCTTTTCTCTTGTTTAGATGGGAGATGACCAATAATTTGACCATTTCCAATCATTACCATGTTTGAAATGAGCAACAAGCAAAACAAAAAAATGTGATAGTGACAATATGATGTGTTGTATTTACTGAGAGCTCATTGTGTACTTTATATGCTATTTTTCCTTTAAAGCTTTCCACCAGCTGGTGAAATAGGTGTGATCTTTAACATCTTCATTTTGCAGAGGAAGGAACAGAAAAGGGGTGAAGTCACTTGTTCATGGCCATTGAGCCCATAGGGGCAAGTGCTGGATCTCAGTCCAGGCTCTTAACCGCTAGCCGTGCTGCTTCTCTGCTGCTGGAAAATTCAAGCCTGAAATCTGGGCATAATCTTATCTTCTGTGAGTTTCCCTTCCTGGCATTTTGGGCAAAACAATTCTCGTGTTGGACTGTCCTGCACAGCAGTACCACAGGTCCTGCTCACTAACTGCCAGGCACTCCCCAGCCACTGTGACCACCTAAGATGTCCTCACATGCCCATTTCCCCAGAGTCCTCTGGGAGTACCCTACTGGCTAAGAATGATGCTAGGCTCATAAGGGAGAAGTGGAGCAGATAAAATTTACAAATCTGACCATTGGCAAGAGCTTGGGATAACCTGCTAATTCTGGGCAAGTTTTTCAAGTTCTCCAAGCCTACAGCAGGATAGTGAAATTGGTTCTCCAGATTCCAATTCCAGGATTTTGGTGAGAAGCCAACAGGTTCCTCTTATTTCGAGAATGCTTCAAAATAATTGAAGTAGAATGTTGTGCCAGATATAAAGAAGAGTAAGAAAGAGCTCCTGCCCACAAGGAACTCACAGTATAGCAAGGCAAGTGAGGTCCTCAACTGACCCTCATGCGATGAAGTGATGTAGAGCTTTCCTCTTCTCAAAGTGTGGCACCAAGGCCAAGAACATCAGCATCAGTGGATGTTAAAAGTATAGAATCTCAGGCTCCATCCCAGGTCTACTGAATGAGGATCTGTCTTTTAACAATATCCCCAGGTAGCTTGGATGCACTTTTTTTTTTTTTTGAGATAGGGTGTTGCTTTGCTGCCCAGGCTGGAGTGCAAGTGGCATGATCATGGCTCAATGCAGTCATGACCTGCAGGGCTCAAGCAATCCTCCCACCTCAGCCTCCCTAGTAGCTGGGATGACAGGTGCTCACCACCATGCCCAGCTAATCATTGTAGTTTTTATAGAGACGGGATTTCGCCATGTTGCCCTGGCTGGTCTTGAACTCCTGGGCTCAAATGATCCAGCTGGCTAGGCCTCCTAAAGTGCTGGGATTCCAGGTGTGGGCCATTGTGCCCGGCCTGGATGCACATTTAAATGTAAAGATCTCTGGTTATAGAGCACATAGGAGAAAATAACTAAGTTTGTTGCAGTGATCAGAGAAATCTTCCAGAGAAGAGAATGCTAGACCTTGAAAAAACAAAACAAGTAGGCTTTTTTTTTTTTTTTTTTTTTTTTTGAGATGGAGTCTCGCTCTGTCTCCCAGGCTGGAGTGCAGTGGCACTATCTCGGCTCACTGCAAGCTCTGCCTCCTGGGTTCACATCGTTCTCCTGCCTCAGCCTCCCAAGTAGCTAGGACTACAGGCGCCCACCACCACGCCTGGCTAAGTTTTGTATTTTTAGTAGAGATGGGGTTTCACTGTGTTAGCCAGGATGGTCTCGATCTCCTGACCTCATGATCCACCCATCTCGCCCTCCCAAAGTGCTGGGATTACAGGCATGAGCCACCGTGCCTGGCCACAAGTTGGCTTTTTTAGTAGGCAGAGATAGAAGAGAATAAGAGCCTACTAGTTAGGAACATAGAATTTTTCCCCTTGGAATTATTTATTGGTTTGAGACACCAAAAGGGATAAAGATTTATGTGTAATCAGGGAAACAAGAGTCTTTGGGTACTCACATTCATGTCTGATAATAATATTAATTCAGTTTGACAAATATTGTTAAGCAACAATTATTCATTATCACTCAGCGTATGGATGTTCCCGGTATGCGGTTGAACAATGAACACAACAGATGTATCCTCTCCCTGAGTACTGAGTCCAGGTTAGAATCCTGGGAAAACCATGTATCAGCTGTGTAAACTTGGGACATTATTTAGCCTCTCCTTTTCTTAGTTTCCACATCTGTAAAGGGGGATCATAATGGCACCCACCTCATTGGATTTATGTGAGGATTACATGAACAATACACTTAGAGCTCAAAAAATAGTAATAGGAGCATACAGAAGTTTATTGAGCACTTTCTGTAATGAGGAATAGTGTGCGCAGAGTAATGAAAATTTTTGAAATAGGTTAAACATTTCTGAAGAACTTTCGAGACTTCCTGGATTACCAAATCTTCTTATATCTCTTCATTGTGTATGAAGATTGTTTGAGGTCGTATGTTTCCTGACACCTAATGGCAGAGAACATTAACAAAAGGCTACGTATTGTTCATGATGATGTGTAGTCATGAGCCTGTCCAAAACTTTCCTCTTTAGCTGTTTTATCCTGGCTTGTTCCTTGCTAATGGTGTGACCATGAGCCAGTCATTTAACTCCCCAGGCTTTGGTTTCCTCATCTGTATAATGGGGATAATCAATGTACCTGCACATAGGGCTGCTGTCAGGATTAAGTTAATTTCTGTAAGTAAATCAGGCACTTAGAATAGTGCCTGATCCACATTAAGCAGTTGATAAATCTTAGCTACCATTGTCATCATCATTCTTATTTTGATTATTTCCCTTAGTTAAAGAGCTACCTGGAAGTTAAGCCCAATATAGGGAAGGCATTACTCACATGTCAAATCAAGGCTAGCTCTCACAGTAGAGTGTCCTTTATGCTCAATTCCTTGGCTGTCCTGCCTCTTCTGCCTTGATAGAAACTTGATTTGGTTGGTTTTTAGGCCACATAGAGTGTTGTTAGTCCATACCTGTGATGTGAACAGACAGAAAAATGTGATCTGCATCCTCCAAATAAAAATGAGATCTGCATCCTCTTTCTGTTAAAAATGGCCATTCTCTTGCCACCATCACCCCCAAAACCTTGTCAGACACACTCTGTCTGCAATTTGAGTTTCAATATTCTTCATCAAGTTTATGTCATAACCAGTGGTGACTTCTTTAAAAGGGATAGATGGACTAAGTGCATTTATAGAGATGTGCACTTAGTCTTTCAAATATGACAGCTGCTCTAAAACTTCCAACCAGCCAAATCTCAAATCTTCTGTCCTGCTGGGCTGGATATTTCATTGTCTTACCTTTCTCACTCTCTTTTCATTACTACACAATGTACTATTTCACCATGAGGTGAAAATAGAACACCTGTTGTGAGTCTTTGAGGATTTTGTTCAGTGTTTTCTTGTAAAGTCAAACCAGAAACCCCCACTGGCAAAACTAGCTGTGTCTCATATTTAAACACAAACTATAAAGTGTCAGGGAAAGAAAAAGTGACTTAGCCAATGAAAACAGTGCACTGGGGGCCAGAATCTGTTTTCAAGATTTATGAGCTGAAAGTAAGTCACGCTTTAATGAATGTTAAATGAAACCCATCTTATTCGTGAAAGACAGGCTATATTTTCTTATGAACATGACCAAGGAATGCCTCTTTTCTGAAACTTGAGTTGTGTCCTTAAAATGATATGCAGGTGAACACATTACAATCAATCTTCTGAGAACTAGAAAATATATGATGGTTTGGCATTATAAAAATCATTTTTCCCCTCTGAAGTGTGTCAGAATTTTATGTGTGTGTGTGGGGGGGATGTTACAAGTGAAGAACAAGGAAAGAAAGCAGTGTCTTATATTTCAACCTATTTTGTTCTTGGTTTGAGTATTTGTGACTTTGAAAACCAGGCCCAAATTTGGTATAAGGGGTCAGACATGGGCAATATCTGTCTCTGGTGGCCTCAGTACTTTTTTCTATGCTCCGAATTCTCCTTCAATTTTGGCTGCCACAAAGTGTTCCACCCTCACTCCCCTACCACTCCCACCCCTAAATATCATCAGGAAAAGATTTGACTCTTAGTGTGAATATGATCTTTTTTTTTCTTCAAATCATTTTATCTTTAATAATCTTGCAGTAATTTAAAATATGAGAAAAAAAGTTAAACGTGTTCCCTTTACAGGTGATGCCACCATGATTGCCTCGCACAAGCATGATCAATCACCATGATGAGACTGGATGCCAAAGAGCATGGCTGGCAAAAAGGCATCAGGGCTCACAGATTGAAGAGTTTGGTTACGGAGTCTCTAGGGGGTAACAGGTGGCAGAAGAGACATCAGTTTAAGGGACCTTCAGAGGACAGGGCGCGGTTGCTGGGTCATGAGCACCTTTAAACGTTTCTTGATGGTGATTCGGTGTCGGGAATATTTGTCATCTGGGGAGAACTGAGCAGGATGGGCTAAGCAGGTCTGTTGTCCCATCGAGTCAAATTTCTCCAGCGTATAGACCTGATCTCCCTGCTCACTAATACTGAAGAAACATGATTACTCTTAAGCCAGAGGTTCCAATTTGGTCCGCAGCTCCGTCTGTCGCTGTCTGCCGAATATGATCTTTTAGAAGGTCATTTGCATTTAAAATTTTCTAAATGCAGAAGGAAATGTTGGTATATTTGGGGGCATTTGGGAGTATGTAAGGAATTAATAGTGTGTTGTGGGAGAGGAGAGACAGAGCCTCTTCTCCCAGGGGCACCTATCATATCCTGTTGTCTGTGCCCCTGCAGATGGGCAGTGCAGTAGCCCTGGAGAAGGAGATGGTACTGTTAGCTTCTCAGTATTTCTGAAATCATACTAAAATACTAAGTAGGAACCTACCTGTGTGGCCTGGCTGTGTGTAGGAGATGGATAGAGAAACAATCCTAGAAGTGAGGCAAGGCCAGCCTGAGAAGGAAGTGAACTGAAATATCTGTTAGAAATACTTCCTCAGGCAGGGAGGGAACCTGTGCAAGAATAGGGGGTGTGGCCAGCCATGAGTGACAGACACTCGTGGACTTCCACATTAGTGCCATATTCAAACTGAGCAGAACTAGAATGCAGAGGTCCCAGGCTTCTAGAGTTGTACTTCCAGAATATAGTCTGAATTTTCTAGAACTCTTTAGAAATTTTTCCTTTTGCTTGTGAAGGGTGATGGCAGGGTATATCAGGCTACAGTCTCCATGTAAGTGAAGGTGTCAGTTCTTTTCCAGGTTAAGGTATACTATACTAACTGGTATGACTGTTTGATCCCTAATTTGGGAAATGATACATGTAGTGGTAAAGAAACAGGATTTGGAATCAGACTGAAGATAAATCCCTCTAAGACAGGAATAGCATCCATCTTGTTTGTTGATAACCAAAACCTAGCTTCACTGGTTCCTGGCACAGGGAATATACTCAATAACTATTTTGAATGTTGAGGGAATGAATCAATGGATATATGAATGAATGAACTAACCTGTTTGAAATTCCAGAGCTTCTATATTTGAGACTTATGGCCTTGGGCAGGTTACCCAAGTTCTCTGAGTCTTAGTTTTCTTATTTGAAAAATTGGAAAAATAATACTCAGTTTACAGGGTTGTTATGAGAAATAACATGATCTAACATATCCATAGCCCTTAGCACAATGCCTTAATAAAGGCAAGCTGTCATAACAGTGATAGTAGCAGTATTAATGTTCATCACTCCCATAATCACAGAATTGTTGTTCAGTGGGGGAGGAGGTGGGTAAAATGTGGACATAGATCCTCATGGCAGCCAATGAGAGATTAACAGAGGAGAATTGTTGTGGAGTGGAGAGTCTGGACAGGGGTTATTTTATGAGGTTTAGGTGAGAGATTGTACATGCCTTGACCTTGATAGAGAAGGTAGACATGGCTGGGGTGAGGCCTTAGCAAAACTGGGTCAATTTGAACTAGTTTCCTTTGGGAAATCACCAGTGTGTCTGGCCTCAAAGTTCAGGCCATTTCTACCACATCATAGTACATACTCCTACCTATGTGAAGAAAAGAGGGGGATAAATAAAATGTAGGTCTCTCTCTCTCTCTGTGCGTGTGTGCGTGTGTGTGTGTGTGTGTGTGTGTGTGTGTGCGCGTGTGTTAAAGGCCTGGAAGATACTGCCTAGTTGGTAATGGAGACAAAGTTGTTGGGAGGTAGTCAAAAGGAAGGGTTGGTGTTAATCAGAGTAAATTTCTGCCTTTCCCTTCTGGCTGGGCCCAGTCTTACCTCTGGATGGGAAGCACAGCTGATATGCTGCCATGCTAGGTTCACTAGCTCATGCTTTCTGGAGGAAAGCAACGATGTTTGCCGTCATGCAATCTTATGCTATTTTGCAAGCCAATTTTTACAGCCTTTACAAAGTACTCGTTAAAAGGGAATATATAAAATGCTTGAAGGGAGAACCATGAGAGAAAGTTGGTGCCATGAGTGTATCTTATTAGGTGTGTTCTAACAGGCTAGATATTTTACATACCTTATGTTTCATTTGTATGACCTCTCTCTCCATTTTATAGACGAGGATGCTGAGACTTGGAGAGGCTAAGTAACTTGGTTACTAAGTTGTGCAGTCAAGATTCCAACCCTGACCTTTCTGAATTCTGAAGCTATTCTCTGACCATATTCTATAATGCATGTGAGGATGCAAAGCTAAATGAGCCTTTCACTCTCTGCCTTTGTCTTCTCTCTGCAGTTATCTTGCATTTTATGGAAGGGCTAGCTCAGCGATGGGAATGGATGTTTTTATGGAAAAGAATCACTTACCGGCCAGGCATGGTGGCTCATGCCTGTAAGCCCAACACTTAGGGAGGCCGAGGCGGGTGGATCACGAGGTCAGGAGTTCAAGACCAGCCTGGCCAAGTCTCTGCTACAAAAGTGAGCCAGGTGTGGCGGCGAGCACCTGTAATCCCAGCCACTTGGGAGGCTGAGGTAGAGAATTTTGCTTGAACCCAGGAGGTGGATGTTGCAGGGAGCCGAAATTGCGCCACTGCACTCCAGCCTGAGCGACAGAGCAAGACTGTCTCAAAAAAAAAAAAAAAAAAAAAAGAATCACTTGCTGTTCCAGGCACAATGGTTGTATCTTAACTTAATAAGAGGAGTAAACAAGTGTTGAATCCTTAGTATGTGCCAGCCATTACACTAAGAGCATCACCCTCACGATCTTACTTAATCCTCACCGCAAGCCCATGAGCTGAGCACTGTGCATGCATGCTACTGGGAGGTAGTGGGTGGGATCAGTATAGGCTCTTCCAGCTCATTGCCACGCCTTGGCAGGGTGAGGTCCATTGCATTGGCTTCCCTGCCAGATGCTGTAGGAAAATACACTGGAGGCCAGGTGCAGTGGCTCATGCCTGAATCCCAGCACTTCGGGAGGCTGAGGAGGTGGGCAGATCCCTTGAGCCAGGAGTTTGAGACTAGCTTAGGCAACATGGCAAGGCCCCATCTCTATGAGAAATACAAAAATTAGCCAGGCATGGTGGTGCATGCCTGTAGTCCCAGCTTACTCAGGGGGCTGAGGTGGGAGGATTGCTTGAGCCCAGAAGGTCAAGGCTGCAATCAAGCTGAGACTGCACCATGACACTACAGCCTGGGCAACAAAGTGAGAAGCTGTTTCCAAAAAAACAAAAACAAACAAACAGAAAACACCAGAGACCTGGTTCCTAGGTTCATAGCATTCTCCCGTGGAACATAAACAGCTAGTGTAAGACCTATCTTCCTCCAGAAACAAGTGAGTTATGAGTGCAGATACAGTTCATTGACAGTCAATGTGATCCATAAGCTGGGTGGGACAGTGGTTTTTCCAAGGCCACATCCCACCTTATCATCTTCTTCCCTGTAATAGCTGTAAGAGTATTAGCTCATATTTGTTGACCTGTTGTTGAGCTCCAGACACTGTCCTAGTCATTGTACATGCATTCTCTCTAATCCTCATTGCTATTCTCTGAGGGTGGAACTGAGACAAAAAAAAATTAAGTCCATTTGCCCAAGGACTCACAGCAAATGGAAGGGCTCTGATTTGGACCTGAGGGCATCTGTTTTTAGAGGCTAAATGCCTGACAGGGAGGTCTACAGCTGAAAGTCTCAACCAGATGGTAAATGAGAAGCACTGCGTTTTATTTACCTTCCTGACACCAGGTCATGTACTGTAGGGACTCAGTAAGACTTGTTACTCAGGGCCAGTTGCGGTGGCTCACACTTGTAATCCCAGCACTTTGGGAGGCTGAGGCGAGTGAATCACCAGTTTAGGAGTTCAAAACCAGCCTGGCCAATATGGTGAAACCCCAACTCTACTAAAAATACAAAAATTAGCTGGGTGTGGTGGCGGGCACCTGTAGTCCCAGTGTCTGGGGAGGCTGAGGCAGGAGAATCGCTTGAACCTGGGAGGCAGAGGTTGCAGTGAGCCAAGATCATACCACTGCACTCCAGCCTGGGTGACAGAACAAGACTGCATCTCAAAAAACAAAACAAAACAAAACAAAACCCAAAAACTTGTTACTCAGAAGAAGCACCAAAAGGTGGTTGTTTTGGGGGATTGGCAATGGTGTGGAGTATATCGTATGTGCTAAGTGCTTTTTAACCAACTTGGATCGAGGCCAGGGTTATTTTCCTATTCTAGGTCTGACCTCAAAGTGCTCCCTTTGGCATGTTGGATTCAATTATTAGGGTGTTTTCACATTTACCTTTCCCAGCAATAGTTTTCAGCCTTAGCATTCTGCTCACATTTCACTTTTAACTAAGTCTCTCTTTAGCAATCTGCTCAGACCTCTTGCCTGTGTGAATAAAGTTTGATTTTCACAAAGGGCACTTTCTAGTCAAAATTCCATACTTGCTGCTTTCCGGGCTATGAAGTGCTGACCTGGGTGGAGGAGACATTGTTTCCTTAGAAAACGACAGAGCTTGAAGCTCTTCACTGATGTGAGGGCCTTTCTCTCCCACTTTGGAACAGTATCAGTCAGATGTACTTCATTAGAGAGACCCTGGGCTAGTTCCTAGGAGCTTCCTGTCCACCAGCTGCTACAGTGGGGTTGGCAGGTACCAGGTGTGGCCAGCAAACATACCTGCCTCAGAGGCCTGGGTCCTTTGAAGTGCCGAAGGAATGTCACACTTCAAAGAAACCTCACTGCAGCTGTCACCTGGCTATCGAGGGGAGGTCAGAGAGTTAATATGCAACCATGAAACTCCCACCTCCAGCCAACACCTGCAAAGCTGAAGCACATTTTTTTTTTCTGGTGCACAGGATTTGAAAGCATTGTTCCTAATTTATCTCAGCATTGTTCCTAATTTATCTCAGCAAGAGCTCAATGCCCTATGTCTTCAGATAAAGATCTATTGTATATATCTGTCCAACAATAAAATAAGTAAATGAGCTGGATTTTTCTTTTCTGAATAGGAATTATTTAGTAATGAAGTAAGTATTTGCAATTACTATTTGCAGGGGTTTAATTATGGGACTAATTTGTAAAAAACATTAGCAAGGCTTTGTACAAATGTAGCATCTTTTATCCGAGGATCACAATGTGTTGTATGCAAATGAATGAACTCTGCTGATGGCTCTGTTTGGTATGCACTCAGTCACTGTTTTAAATTTTCCTTGGGCATTCAGCACTCTAGGGCTGGGGTGGGAAGCCAACATTTATTTATAAATTGCAGCAAGATGGATGTAGATTAGATCTAAAAAAGGACTTCCTGGTTGTGATGTTACTAAATGCTGGCCTGAATTACTGCAGCAGTTTTTAAAGACTTGCGTGAACAAGACTTCCTGCCACTTTGATAGTAGTCTTTTTATTAGAAAACCAAACCCATCATCTTCTTCCAGTAGAAGAAGCTAAGTTTTCAACTTAAACACAAATAGTAAGCCATTAAAGAAAAGAAAAAGAGGGTTGGAGTGAGTGACTATAAAAGCCCAAATTCTGGCAGACTCTCCTTTAAGGCTCTGGACTCTGCTAAAACCTGGACTGCAGGAAGGTATGCCTCAATTAACATCATAAAGGCTAAATTTTGCCTGGGGATAGCCTTTGTTACAGTTCCTAGCCTCAAAAAAATGGCTTCAGCTCCCTTTCCCTCCCACCCTTGTTTATACATTCCAATACAGATTTGCATCTAAAAAATAAGATAGACAAATGCCTGCATGTATATGTTTATAGTGGAATTTCATTACAGATATCTGCCTAATGCTGACAGATAAACCAGGCCCGATGACCTAATATTCCTCCTGCACTTGTTTTATTTGAGCTTCATGTTTCTTCTACCTACTCCTCCTTCGGCAGGAACAGAAAGATTTAGAAAAGAACAGGTTCTTTGCAAACAGCCTATGGCTACTCTGATGGCGGACCCTCATTCACCCTCACTCTCTGCTTTCTAATCTCTTTCCTGTCCCACTGCCTTACGGTTTATTGAAACCTCAAAACTTTCTATAGCTTTGGTGCTAAATTTTGCAATCAGTTTTCTTCCTCACTTAGGGGTTAGTGCCCCTGGACTCATATTGGGCTGCAGCAGAGCAAGTGGAAGGTCAGAGGAGTTGAAAAGAAGAGTTTCTGGAATTGGGCTGCTTAATTCAAAATCTGGTTTATGAACCATGGGAACTTGGGCAGGTTTCTTCACCTCTCTGCCTAGTTTCTTTAACTGTCAAATGGGGACAGTATTAATCCCTACCTTATAGAAAATTCATGAGAGTTTAAATGAGATGATACATGTATAATACATATTTCAGGTAACATAATACAGATTTCTGTTAATTAATTAGACTCCAAAAACATAAAGATGGGAATACTTGTATCTCATAGCATTTTTGAATGCTTTTCACATGCTTCTTAAGTATTGTACACATACCATCTCATTTAACTCTCATGACTTTTCTATAAGGTAGGAATTAATATTGTCCCTGTTTGAAAGTTAAATAAACCAGGCAGCGAGATGAAGAACTCTGCCCAAGTTCCCATGGTTCATAAACCAGATTTTGAACTAAGCAGCCCAATTCCAGAAACTCTTCTTTTAATTAATTAAACTCTGAAAACATAAGGATGCTTATACTTATATTTCTTTCCTGGATCCAGAGCATCTTCAATTATTATGGTGTTTCTCCAACTGTGGGTTGGGTATTATTAATGGCTCATGAACTCAACTTAATTTGATATCAACTAGCCTACGAAAAAAGGAAAAATATCTGTGTACAAGGCAGGTATTAAGGATAGTACTACCAGGCATGATAGCATGCATCTATAGTCCCAGCTATTCAGGAGGCTGAAGTGGGAGGATCGCTTGAGTCCAGGAGTTCTTGGCTGTAGTGCATGATGCCAATTGAGTGTCTGCACTAAGTTCAGCATCAATGTAGTGACCTCCCAGAAGCAGGAGACAACCAGGTTGCCTAAGGAGGGGTGAAGTGGCAGAGGTTGGAAACAGAGCAGTGCAAAACTCCCACACTGATCGGTATTGGCATCACACCTGTGAAGAGCGACTGCCTTGCAGCCTGGACAACATACTGAAACCTGCCTCTTTTGAGTTCTTACCTTATAAAGTATCCTTTCTTCTCATGCATCTATCCTAAGACAACAGAAAGTACAGTATGTAAACTTTTTTTTAAACATGATAGTACTGTTTTAGAAAACTTTTATTTATTTTATACCTGTATACTTATATGTGATATGTACATTTACTTAACATGCTTTACCTATGTATATTTACATATATACTTACATGAGGTACATTGAATCATGATGTAAAATATTATTTCAAGTCAAAAAAGTGAAAAAATGCAAGACATTTTTCCATACAAATTGAACAGAGTTGCCTGCTGTACCCGTTTCTCCCCTGCGTCATGGGTTATGTACTGTACTCTTTCAAGATGATAGTGGTCTTTTAGAAATATTATTAGGAAAGTCATAAATGCAGCCAAGGAGGGAAGAAAGGAATAATTTAAATGACATATACGGCAAGGCAGACAAAAACTATTGGGCATAGTATGTAAATTATAGAAGTTCATTTTTTACAAAGTATATATATGTAAAGGTTTAATATCTTTACTATATACAGAACACTTACAAGGCATATGAGCAATTAATTCATAAAAGGACAGTCAGCCACCTCTATCTGCGGATTCTGCATCTGTGGATTCAACCAACTGTGAATCAAAGCATTTCAAAAAAAATAATAATTATCTCTGTACTGAACATATACAGACTTTTAGATCTTGTCATTATTCCCTAAATAATACAGTATAACAACTATTTACATAACATTTATATTTTATTAGATAATGTAAGTAATCTAGAGACTAGTTAAAGTATACAGGAGGCTAGGCGTGGTGGCTCACGCCTGTAATCCCAACGCTTTGGGAAGCCGAGGAGGGCGAATCACGAGGTCAGGAGTTTGAGACTAGCCTGGCCAACATGGTGAAACCCCGTCTCTACTAAAAAAGACAAAAAATTAACTGGGTGTACTGGTGGGCGCCTGTAATCCCAGCTACTCAGGAGGCTGAGGCAGGAGAATTGCTTGAACCCGGGAGGTGAAGGTTGCAGTGAGCTGAGATCGCGCCACCGCACTCCAGCCCTGGTGACAGAGGGAGACTCCATCAAAAAAAAAAAACTTTACAGAAGAGACTAGGTGCGGTGGCTCATGCCTGTAATCCCAGCACTTTGGGAGGCCAAGGCGGGCAGATCACCTGAGGCCAGGAGTTCAAGACCAGCCCGGGCAATATGACAAAACCCTGTTTCTACTAAAAATATAAAAATTAGCCGGGTGTGATGGTGGGTGCCTGTAATCCCGGCTACTCAGGAGGCTGAGGCAGGAGAATCGCTTGAACCTGGGAGGTAAGGGTTGCAGGGAGCCGAGACGGCGCCACCGCACTGCAGCCCGGGCGACAGAGCGAGACTCCGTCTCAAAAAATAAAAAATAAAAAAAAGTATACAGGGAAATGTGCATAGGTTATATGAAAATACTGTATCATTTTATATTGCAGACCTGAGTATTTGCAGATTTTGGTACCTGCAAGAGGTCCTGGAACCAATACCCCATGGATACTGAGGGACAACTGTAAATAGTAAGCATATAAAAATATCTTTCACTTCATTACTAATAAAGGAATACAAAGGAAAACCATGAAATTATTTTTTTCGTCTATCAAATTAACAATTTTGTTTTATGGTAATATCCAATGTAGAGAAAGTTACAGGGAAATAAACACTTCCATAAAAGACTAGCAGGGATAAAGACTGGGATAAGTTTTCTGAGGGAGCAATCTGGCAATTTGATTTCAAAAGCCGTAAAAATGTATATGCCATTTGAATTGACAATTCTACTTCAAATAATTTATCCTAAGGCCATAATAAAGCTGTTTCACAAACATTTAGCTACCAGGATGTTCACTGCAGGACTGTTATAGTTTAAAAAAAAAAAAATTGGATGATAATTTAAGAAAAAAAGACAATTGATAAAATAAACTTCGGTGTACTGACAGAAGAATTTAAAATGATGCTCTGGTATGGTTTAAGATAATTTCCTTTTGTGTAGGGCTTGGTCTCTACAAGCAAAGCTTTGGGTACCAGACTTCTCTTAAATTAAAAACTAGGACCTTACGTTTTGCAACTGTGCCTAAGTGCAATAGATTGAATTTAGGCAGAAGTGCTAACTTGAATAATAATGCGATTAGCTTTAAGTAATATATAGTGTGGAAGAAATTGCATGTTATTTATATAGATGCCAAGTAGTCCACACTTGCCTGCTGTTTTCCGTAAGATCTGTAACCACACCGAGTTAAGCTTTGGCCTCCCTGCCTGTAACCTGATAAAAGGGTCAAGCCTGCAGGACGGTGTGTTGTTATACTCACTGATGGAATTTTCTCTCCCCTGCCTGGGCAGGTGAACCCAAGGCTATGAACCAGGGCCTGTAGGTATTTGAGGCTATCATGATGCTGCCCCCTGCATTCCTGCAGTCAACTGGGAGCTGTGGGGGCTGCAGCACTTGCTCTCTCCTGGCCAGCAGCCCAGGGGGTGAGTGAGGAGGGCTTGGGGATCCATTGAATTTCCTTTTTGTTTTCTTCATTTCTATTGGGTCTAACTCACTTGTTAAAAAGAAAAAAGTCTTACTAGTCTTACTATTGGAATTAGGAAATTAGTCTTTAACTGGACTGCAAATATGGCTCACACTTGTAATCCCAGTGCTTTGGAAGGCCAGGGCCTGAGGATCATTTGAGGCTGGGAGTTTAAGACCAGTCTGGGCAATATAGTGAGACCCGCCTTTACAAAGAATTAAAAGCAGCCAGGTGTGGTGGTGAGAACCTGTAGTCCCCACTACTTAGGAGGCTGAGGCAGGAGAATCATTTGAGCCCATGAGTTTGAGGCTGCAGTGAGCTATCATTATGCCGCTGTATTCCAGCCTGAGTGACAGAGCAAGATCCTATCTCTAAAAAAGAAAAAAGAGGAAAAAAAAAGAAATAGATTGAAAAGGAGAGTGTACACCCCATGAAGTTAACAGTTGTTTTTTTGTTTTTGTTTTTGTTTTTTTCCTGGTTGGGAGGATTCAGGTGGTTACTCTTTCCAGTTTACCTCCATTTTATAGTTTTTGTCACCAAGCACTTATTACTTTAACTAGAAAAACGAAAGAATCTTTTTGTCACTGTTGTCTTGTTCACTGCTGCCCATGTCCTAGAATGGTCTCTAGTCTATAGTAACCTCTCAATAACTACCTGTTGGAGAAATAACTGAATGAATAAATGTCAAAGGTCATTGCTTCCTTTGGGAATGGAAAGCTTTAGTACCATCAGATTTTTTCCATATCCTCAGCTTCTTAGGATCACAGGTTGGAGTTTTAGTAGCATATGTTAAAAAACATAGTTCCTGTCTTCTTCAAAAATCCTGTGACTTTCAAGAAACCTATGACTTTGGGCACCCTGTGTGCTATCTTTCCTTCAGCACGGATGGTTCCTGCCTGCTGAAAAGTGCTGACTATTGCACCTCAGCTAACCCACTCAACCTTTTTCTAGAGGCCCAGGGAGATATGAATGTGACCAAGAACTTGGCCTTTGATATTCAGCCCAAGTCTGGCTAGAGGTCAGAGGGAGAAAAAAAAAAAAAATCCCTCCATGAGCCATAGCTGTCTGTATATTCAGCGTCTCTAGGCAACTGGGAGGACATTTACCATTCATCCTCCAAGAATGCTGAGTAGCCCTTCTTACGTGTGATTCACTTTGGGGTAAATTTCTGTCCTTACTAATGAGCCTGTGATGGGAGTCAAGTGAAAAGGAATCATTAAATCTGGTTTTATTCAAGTTACATAATTAATTCTGGCACTGAAGTTGGCTTCCCAAGTTTTATACATGGCCTGAGTTTGTTCATTGAATTAAAGGTGAGCATGGGGGTTGATGACACGGTGGCTATAGGTTCTTATTTCTTGTCCTTCTTCATGGGGTTAATTTGAAGAATAATTTAGCTAAAGCACCTTGTGCAGGGTTGGGAATGTGTTAGTGATCGGTACATGAAATTTCCCTGTCCATTGCCTCTTTTCCCTCATGACCTCCTACATGGGAGGTTTTCCCTTGGAGGGTGTGACAGCTGATTACTCAAGCTGGTGTGGGAATTTAGCTCTGGAGATTGACTGGCAGATCAAAACTTGGACTGTTCTCACCAATAGGGGTACGGCTCTCTACTTCATTATGTGTCTTTGTGGCATTTTGTCTTTCTCTCTCCTGGCTAGTCTACTCAAACACCCTTCTCAGAGACTGCCACTGTGGACTCTGAAGTTTTCACAATACCAGGAGGTTTGTGGGAACTGAATAAATTGCTTCAAGATCGAACATAAAAATAAGTCCTGGCCCCAATCCTAAAAGAAGTCACTGGGAACCCAATCAGTGCTGGGCAACCAGCCCAGGCCCAGGCTAATGAGATATTTACATGCTAGGCTTTTCCCTTCATTTTGGTCTTCATGGGCCTCATTTATGAGGAAGTCTGGAGTGCGTGTGCTGTAGGCAGAGGCCGGTGCTTCCCAGCTTGGTGCCATGGACTCCTGTAGCAGATCAGGGGCACTACCACCCACCAAAAAATCCAGCACATTCAACAAACAGCAAATTCCCAGCCCAAAGCAATTACTTGCTTTTTATTTATTTATTTTTTTGCTATTGTTTTTCATTTACATTCTTTTCTGAGTTTTGCATGTTTTACTCTGACAGGAGGTATAAACAGGCAAAGGAAATGTAATCTATTTCAGTATTTGTGGGAGTGCTTGTCCTAGGAGTTTTAGGAGAGCATTTTCATCTATCAGATTAAGACAAATTTAAAAGGGTCCCCAAAGAGAATTTAGAATTGGAAAACTAAACCTAGGAGGAAGTTAAAGGTACAGTGATTATTTTGCTTGGAGAGTAGTATTGGCTTTCCAATAAAATGAAGGTGATTACTAAGAAAGGTAGCTGATTGGTCATTAGTGCATGGCCAGGACAAGAGAGTGAAGACTCATGTTTGCTTAAAAGAAGCATTTTTCTCTCAGGTGGAATTTGTTTGACGTTAGTGTGGCAGATTGTGATATTTCTTCTAAAAGTGGGAAAGCAATTTGTGTAATCTGTGCTCGTGTGCAGAGGACAGAACCAGATGGCTTTCGCAGTAAACTTTCAGGGCTTTACTAGAATAGGGAGAGACAAAAGGGAGGCAAACTTGGTGGCTTGTGAGATGGGGAATCGTTGTTTCAAATCAGGGGTGAGAACAACCCAAAATTTAGGAATGGCTTTTCAATAATAGCTCTTCTGATGTGTAGTACTAGAATCTAATTTTTATTTAAGCACAGCTTCAGAGGTTTTTTTAAAAAATTGCAAACTTGGAAATAAAGAAAAAAGAGGGGGCCGGACGTGGTGACTCATGCCTGTAATCCCAGCACTTTGGGAGGCCGAGGTGGGCAGATTGCCTGAGGTCAGGAGTTCGAGACCAGCCTGGCCAACATGGTAAAACCCTATCTCTACTAAAAATACAAAAATTAGCCGGGCACTGTGGCAGATGTCTGTAATCCCAGCTACTCGGGAGGCTGAGGCAGGAGAATCGCTTGAACCTGGGAGGCAGAAGTTGCAGTGAGCCGAGATCGCACCATTGCACTCCAGCCTTGGCAAAAAGAGTGAGACTTTGTCTCAGAAAAAAAAAAAAAAAAAAAGAAGAGGAACAGCATGTCTTATCAATGTCACAATGGGAAAATGTTTAAAAGGCCACCAAGGATTACTCATTATTTACTACTGACAAGGCCTAGACTCTGTGAGGTCACATGTTCATTTAGGTTTATGTCCGGTATAAAAGATAACTCTAAAGATTATGGTTTCATTGCCCTGTAGGACATTAACCTCTTTTGACTTAACTAGTAATCTTATTCATACATTCTCTTTTACAAATTTCACTAATTTTTCTGAGTACCCAGGTCCCCAAATGGCCTTTAAACCAGCTTGATCATGCTTCTGGCTCCCCACCAGTGAATTGAATATGTGTTAACATGTGTTCATTATTTGACTCATGTTTGTAACTATTTTAAAATTGCTCTTTAACTAGTGGAATTTTATCTTTTATTGTTTGCTGAGTAAGATTTTTCATAATAACTTCTCTTCTGCTCTTTGATTAATGCTGAATAGAGTCATGATTTTACTAACATTTATTTTTGTGGCAGCCTCATGTGTAATCCCACCTGCATTCTTCAAAAGCATTTGTAAATAACCAACAAAACTATTTCCTGGTGTAAATCAGTGCATGGAAATCCGTTCTTGTTTTTAAAGGAAGTTAAAGTGAATGAGGTTTCTTCACAGCAATCTAGGATTTTTATCTACAGGGAAAAATCTGTGTTTATGTAGTTTTGTACTTATTATCAACCAACAGGTCTTGTAAATATAGGGTTTTTGCTAGCTTTTGTGTTAAAAGTTACATGTACTCACATAAATGGTTTGGGAAGAAACACTGAATTGGTTTGGAAGGAAATCAGTTCTTTAAAAAAGAAAACAACCGGCCAGGCGCGGTGGTTCACGCCTGTAATACTAGCACTGTGGGAGGCCAAGGCAGGTGGATTGCCTGAGCTCAGGAGTGCGAGACCAGCCTGGGCAACACAATGAAACCCCGTCTCTACTAAAATACTAAAAAAATACACCACTCGGGGTCGTGGTGTGTGCCTGTAGTCCCAGCTACTCGGGAGGCTGAGGCAGGAGAATTGCTTGAATCCAGGAGGTGGAGGTTGCAGTGAGCCAAGATTGCACCACTGCACTGAAGCCTGGGTGATAGAGTGAGACTCCGTCTCCAAAACAAAACAAAAACAAACAACCTGAACCATAAACAGTTGAATTCAGTCAGGATTGTTTGTTCATTGCATGAATAAATTTGACCCCTTAAATAATGGCCACTTGAATTCAACTGCTTTTCGGTGTAATACAGTTGCATCTTTGAAATTTTGGAGATGCAGCATGACCTCAAATGGTTGTAATTGCCTATTAAAAAAAACAGGCATGAGAAACTGTGCTACTTTAAATGCAACAGATACACATATTTGGACTTTGGTAATTCCATTTCAGTCTCTTCCATCCAGAGAGGTAAGATCCCTTTATATAAATAAATACCTGAGACTGGATCCTGGCTCACTCCTGTAATCCCAGCACTTCCAGCACTTTGGAAAGCTGAGGCGGGAGGATTGCTTGAGTCCAGGAGTTTGAGATCAGCCTGGGCAACGTGGAAGGACATTGCCTTTAAAAAAATACAAAAAGTAGCTGGATGTGATGGTGCGCACCTGTAGTCCCAGCTACTTGGGAGACTGAGATGGGAGAATCACCTGAGCCCGGGGAAGCTGAGGCTGCAGTGAGCTGTGATTGCACCATAAGACTCCATCCTCAGTGACAGAGCAAGACCCTGTCTCAAAAAAAAAAAAAAAAAAGATCATGACAAATGAGCTTCAAATGTTTTTCTTAGTGTTTCAAATATTTAAAACCAAAACAATGCTAATGATTTTTATAGACATTCCATAGTTCACAGCAATCTAGGATTTTTTTAGAATAACCATTCCATAGTTAAGTAATTAAATTATTGCTTTAGAATAACCATTCCATAGTTAAGTAATTAAATTACTGCTTAGAGCTGCGCATAAATGAACTATCAGGAAACATTTTCAATTTTTTCTCATCGAGGGCAGTGGGTAAGATAGAAAATAACAAGTGAGTTTAGTATGTTTTAAAAAACAGTATTCATCACTTTTTGCTCTCCAAATCTATTGTTTCATAAATATTGCATTGCCTTTGTTTAAAAATTGGGGTAAGCATTATACTCCTTACTTTAGGAGTTCCTATAGCAATCTGTTTCCCAAGATGGAGTATCAACCAGTATTTGACTAAAGAGGGAATATTTAGTTTTTAAAGTCATGTATTAAAAATTAAAGACCAAGAAGAAAATTCTATACTTCCATGATTGGCAAATTAGAATTGGTTAAAAAATAAAAATGTAGAATTGCAATATAATTTTTAACATGATTTTACTAATCAATATGGAAGTTATTTTTATCTTTAAGACTGACATTCCTTGTACTCAATAATGTTCGCAGGCATCTAAATCAGAATTTAGAATAGTTTCAAATGGACAAACACATAAACTTCTCAGATTTACAAAACTGTTTGTAACTCTTATTAAAAGCTTCCTAGGCCAGGTGCAGTAGCTCACACCTGTAACCCTGGCATTTTAGAAGGCTGAGGTGGGAGGACTGCTTGAGTCCAGGAGCTCAAGAGCAGCTTGGCAACATAGTGAGACCCCATTTCTACAAAAAATTTAAAAATTTGCTGAGTGTAGTGGTGCATACCTGTAGTCCTGGCCACTCTGGAGGCTGAGGTGGGAGGATTGCTTGGTCTTGGGCAGTTAAGGCTGCAGTGAGCCATGATTGTGCCACTGCACTCCAGCCTGGGTGACAGAGTGAGATCCTGTCTCAAAAGAAAAAAAAAAAAGAGGCCGGGCACGGTGTCTCACACCTGTAATCCCAATACTTTGGGAGGCCGAGGCGGGCAGATCACCTGAGGTCAGGAGTTTGAGACCAGCCTGGCCAGCATGGCAAAACCCTGTCTCTACTAAAAATACAAAAAATTAGCCGGGCCTGGGGGCAGGTGCCTGTAATCCCAGCTAGTCGGGAGGCTGAGGCAGGAGAATTGCTTTAACCCAGGAGGTGGAGACTGCAGTGAGCTGAGATGGCGCCATTGCACTCCAGCCTGGGCAACAAAGAGAGACTCCATCTCAAAAAAAAAAAAAAAAAGCTTCCTAAAGGTAAATATTTTTATTATTTGTTTCCGTTTTGATTAGTAAGGAATTAAAAGTAAATACAAATAATGAAAAATCTTTACTCTCAATAAAACATTTTCAAATTTAAAAAAAATTGGGGTTTGAAATTGTTCAAACCAGTTTCTAGCAGCATTTCCACTCTTCAGGCTTTAGTGCTTTTTTTGTCTTTAGAATATGGACTTCTGAATATAGACACCTTCACAGCTGCTTACCTGAACATTAAAGTTCATCTGTTCTGCAGGTATTATTGTTGTTATTATTATTTCTTGAGACAGAGTCTCGCTCTGTCACCCAGGCTGGAGTGCAGTGGCACGATCTCACTCACTGTAACCTCTGCCTCCCGGGTTCAAGCAATTCTCCTGCCTCAGTCTCTCAAGTAGTTGGGATTACAGGCATGCACCACCACACCTGGCTAATTTTTATATTTTTAGTAGAGATGGGGTTTCACCATGTTGGTCAGGCTGGCCTTGAACTCCTGACCTCAAGCGATCGCCCTGCCTCGGCCTCCCAAAGTGCTGGGATTACAGTTGTGATCCACCGCGCCCAGTTCTCTGCAGGTATTATTAAATGTTATCACAGAGGCTCAGTTATTTCAAATAAGCAGTGTTTACAAAGTCCTTTTCTGAGCACATCTCATCCAGCTTTGATTTATTTGGGGAAAATGGAAATGATCTGTGAGCTATCAACTCTTAGAACAAGAGAGTTGGTCAGGTGGTCAGGTTTTTTATTTTTGTTTTTTAAAATGACTGTTATAGTGGCAATGTGTATTTCTAGCTGAATATACAGAAAAAATTAAAGATCTGCAAGGGCTCAGTCAGAGTCAATCTACAAGGCTAGATGCTACTATTAGCCAGAGAAGCACCTGTTTCTCTTCTGCTGAGCAACTTTGAGGAAGGAATTTCTGTTATTTGCAACCCAAAGCAGATAAATATTCTTAAAAACATTCCCCCAGATTATTTTTTTTAATTAGCAAAATGGCACTAAATTTGAAAATAAAATGATACAGACAAATTAAAATTCTTACCACTTTAGACATTTCAGCATTTTGTTCACATAGCAGCATGACCTGTACAAAATGGCCTGTAACTGGCATCTCAAAAAAATTTTAAAAAGTTACAGGCACCATTTTACTGTGAGTAGTCAAATAAATCTTCAACTTAGAACAGTTTTTACCAAAGGGAAAAAATATTTTAAGTTTCTTTTTAAAGTCATTCTTTCAAGTAGTACACAAATTATTTAGAATTGAGTAGTACACAAATTATTTAGATGACTTTCCCACATTACAACTAGCTGCCTTAATTCCTTCAAGTAAAGATTTAGTATTCACTTAAAATTATTTTGAATGTTCCTCAGAAAAGCAAACTTAACATGTTTTGTGTGAAGAACTTGATGAATCTAACGTAATCATGGTCATCCTGAAGCAACAGTTCCAGTGACCAAAAATTATTCTTTTCTTACTTTTTTTTTTTTAAATAGAGACAGGGTCTCGCTCTGTTGCCCAGGCTGGAGCACAGTGACAGGATCATGGCTCACTGCAGCCTTAAACTCCTGGGCTCAAGTGATCTTTCCACCTCAGCTTCCTGAGTAGGTGGGACATAGGCATGTGTGACCATGCTCAGCTAATTAAAATAATTTCGTTTCTTGTGGAAACTGGGCCTCGCTATGGTGCTCAGGCTGGTTTCAAACTCCTGGCCTCAAGCAGTCTTCCAGCCTTGACCTCTCAAAGTGCTGGGGTTACAGATGTGAGTCACCACATCAGACCTGTTCTTTTTTATGAAAGAATGTAGGGGTTCCCAAAGGAAATAACATAGTTCAAGGAATTTGGGAAGGGATCTGGACATTTCAGGAGTTTTCAGCCTTCAGGATTTAACAGGTGGAACAGGTACAGTTTGTGTTGCTTAAGATACTTGGTAGATAGAGAGACTTTCAGTTTAGCTCCAGCCCACATAGAACTGGCCGGTATCTTTGCCCTGATTGGCTTTCTTTGCAGATAAACTCATGGACTCTGAGTTCAAATCCTGATTCTACACTAGCTGTATGATCTTGGGCAAGTTGCTTAAACTCTCTGTGCCTTAGTTAACCCATATGTAAAATAGAGATATCAGTAGAACCTATAATAGTCTTGCCTTGGTATTCACAGGAAAATTGATTCCAAGACTGCCTGTGGATACCAAAATCCATGCATGCTTAAGATCTGCAGTGGGCCCTGCAGAACTGTGGGTAAGAAAAGCTGGCTGTCCCTCCATATTTGCATCCCACAAATACTGTTTGGTTGCAGATACATAACCTGATATGGAGGGCCAAGCATATTTATTGACAAGAATTTGCACATAAATGTACCTGCAGGATTCAAACCCGTGTTGTTCAAGGGTTAACTGTACTATGTAAATTGCAGTAATTGACATAACATATATAAAAAAATTAGAAAATGTAGATGATACAGGACAAGCATTCAATAAATGTTTGTTGTTATTATTTTTAGAATTTCACCTATGTTGTCCTACGACTCTGTTTTTAACTTTGTTTCCATGTGCCTATATATGTGCTTTTAAATTTATTTATTTTGTGCATGTGATAATCACATATCTAGTCTTTTCTTTTTTTTTTCTCTGAGAAGAAGACTCAGTCTGTCGCCCAGGCTGGAGTGCAGTGGCATGATCTCTGCTCACTGAAACCTCTGCCTCCCAGGTTCAAACGATTCTCGAGCCTCAGCCTCCTGAGTAGCTGGGACTACAGGCATGCACCACCATAACCAGCTAATTTTTGTATTGCTAGTAGAGACAGGGTTTCACCATGTTGGCCAGGCTGATCTTGAACTCCTGACCTCAAGGTGATTCACCCGCCTCGACCTCCCAAAGTGCTAGGATTACAGAAGTGAGCCACGTGCCCGGCCATCATATGTGTAGTTTTTTTTTTTTTTTTTTTTTTTTGAGATGGAGTCTCGCTCTGTCGCCAGGTTTGAGTGCAGTGGTGCGATCTCGGCTCACTGCAACCTCTGCCTCCCAAGTTCAAGCAATTCTCCTGCCTCAGCCTCCTGAGTAGCTGGGACTACAGGCGAGTGCCACCACACCCAGCTAATTTTTTTTATTTTTAGTAGAGACAGGGTTTCACCATGTTGGCCAGGATAGTCTGGATCTCTTGACCTTGTGATCTGCCCACCTCCCAAAGTGCTGGGAATACAGGCGTGAGCTACCATGCCCGGCCCACGTATCTAGTCTTAACAGTACATTCAAAAACATTTTTGATAAAGTCAGGAAGAATTGGAATGTCTTCCTAATACTCTGAAATCTTATCAGATAAGAACAATCTTCAGATTCACCAATTACCAGATAAGCAAAGTTAGGGAAAATTCTTGTTGAGAGAGCAAAAGACTGCTGCTTCCTGGGTAGGGTTTTCCTCACAACCCATGAGGAGGATTACTTAATAAAACACTAAAAAGAGAAAAACACTCCATTCTGAGGTGACACGGTTTCCTTTCTTGTATGAGATGGATCTAAGGCATTCCAGTTTTTCTGTATACCCAGAGTCAAAGCTCCGGCTTTCTCTTGAGTCTCCCCTTCTGGAAGTCTTTTCTTTGCTTCCACTTCATCCTTTAGGTCTCAGCTTGGAGGACACTATTTCCTGAGAAGATTGTCCCCTTCGCCCTTCCTTGAGCTCTCAGAATAACCTGTTCCACCTCCTCCACCCACATTAGAGCATTTAGCATTGGCATTGGAAGCACCACTCTGTCAGTGTCTCCCATTGAACTGTAGCACCCAGAGAATGGAAAATGATCTATTATTTTGCTTATGGTTGTAACCTTGGCACCTAGCACAGTGCTTAGCACATAGTAGGTACTCAATAAAATATTGTTGTATTATGTCAGGCCTCCCAAGGCCTTTAAACTTTGGTGCTGGTGGCTCCTGTTAGCTGTGAATGTGGACATGGGAAGGGTTGGGTGAGTCTGAGACTTTGCCGGACATAGTTTCATATGAAGGGCTTAGAGAAAGGATGAATCAGGCCTCTAGAGCTCCCAAGGTAATAGGAATGTCCTTCGGTTTCTACGTACCTGCTCTCTTCCTTCCTACTTTACTCTTCAAATTTAGTCTTCAACTCCTG